>NC_000006.12:12029696-12181212 GCF_000001405.40 Homo sapiens | reverse complement strand
AATTTTTTGTGTTTTTAGTAGAGATGGGGTTTCACCATGTTAGCCAGGATGGTCTCGATCTCCTAACCTCGTGATCCACCTGCCTCGGCCTCCCAAAGTGCTGGGATTACAGGCGTGAGCCACAGTGCCTGGCTCTAAAAAAAATTTTGCTTAAGTTACAAAAAATAAACATATGTATAGTCAGAATTATAAGACTGCCTGCATATTCAGAGCATGAGGTCTTACCCTGACAGATGTTTGTTGACCTATGAAACTGACCAAACTGCCATCATTGCAATATAGCTACGTCTATCTTAATGAAATCACATGTTGTTTACACCTGTACTTGAAGATACATCTTTTTCAAGCCTATTCAGCATTAAGCAGCACCTACAATAAAAGATCCTTTACCACAAATGAAAACAAAGATATGTTCACGGATTTGAATATTAATCTCGTGTGGATTTGTAACATTGTAAAGTAAGACCTGAGGTGATCCAGAGGGAAAAGAAGTTGTGGCTTCTTCTCATACACACTTAAGCCCAGAAGGTGGCCTAATGCTCTTACAATCTTTCAATGGAAATTTTGATAAAGAAAATGACGTGGTGTTTATGAAATACAGGAAACACCGAATATCTTTCTTATTTTTCATAACAACACATCTATTTATAATTACTTGTTAAGAGATTAAGAAACAATAATAATTTTGGAGAAACTGACAATTAGAGCAAATCCGTAGGTGATTTTTAAATACTTAGTATAAACAGATACATTTTCTTCCTCTGAAAATATTGAATGCTTATAATTATAGTTTATAAGAATAAAGAACTCTTTCTCCTCAGTAGATGAAGATTGAAGTTTGTGAATCGCTGCAAATGTATATGCCGAGAAAACAACTGAATTTATTTTAATTTAAAATGCTCTTATTCAGCTTAGCAAATAATGGGCCTGTAGTTAGAAAAGAATATGCATGAAGAAAAAGTAAGATAAATACACAGTAGAAGTGGGCCAACATTTTCCGGGGCCTCAGGCAAATATTTATCCATTCTCAGCCTCAGTTTCCTTAACTGAAAAAGAGTGCCAACCTCATAGTATTAATAGAAGGATTAAACGAAAAAAAATGTGAAGTGTTTAGCAGGATACCTAGCACACAGTAAATGATCAGACATTTTAATAATTTATTTTGCAAATGCTATTCAATATCTTGAGTGCATATTGATATAAAGCTTATTTGAAATTTCTACAAGATAAATGCTTTCCAGTCTTTTAAAAGAAAATTCATGTCATAGCTGTTTAGTTTCTCATGTTTTATATCTTAATTTTTGTTTTATATTAACAGGATCATTTTTGGAAGCATTATTTATAAATAATAAATAAGTAAGTATAAATAATAAATAAACAAAACATTATTTATAAGTAACTACTGTTGGGAAAAATGCCTAACATCATTGTAGATTTCTACTGAACTTTTGGTTTTGCTTATGTGTATTACATGGATACATTTTCTTTTTAAAAAAACATTACTTGTAGGTGATACTGTTACTTGTAAGTGATACTCACCTTCATGGAACAATAGTAGTCATAATGGTAAAAGCAGGAGAGCAACCTTGGCCTTGAGCTCCTTGTGTTCCACGACTTCCATCCTCCCTGCTCCTGGGGATGAGAAGGAGCAACTCATTAACTAATTGTTGGTGGTGACCACTGGCTCATATTTTTAAGGAGGATGGAGCCAATCTATGAAAATGCTGTAAGATTGAGCTATCCGTCTCTTTATTTTCTGGCTCCAATCAGAGGTTATGCAGAACTAAGCTCCCTTTCTCATGGACTGTCCCAAAGCTTAGCCTGCTGGTGGATGGTGCGGAGGGAATGCAGGGGAGCAAAAAATGATAGGAGGTGAGGAACAGGACCACTGCAAGCCTGCTTGATTATGAAACTAAGCCACCTGCTCCATTATCACCTTCCTCAGTCACAGAGCTGATATTTGGGTCCCTATCTATATATTAATCTGTTCCCAACTCGGGTAGAAAACAACTGTATTATTCATTTGCCTCATAAAACCCCATCACCTCCTGATTGCCTGTCCCACAACCTTCAGCGTCTCTCCAGGGACGTCCAGAGCTATGTGCTACATGTATCATTCCATGCCTTTTCCTGTGCTTTTACATAGAGATATACGACTCCATCATTCTATACTTCATTTGTTTATATCTTTCTATATTTTTAAAATAAATTGGATCCCATTGTATAAATTTTTCTGCAACTGGTTATTTTATCTCAAAACATGTCTTGGAGATCCATCCATCTATCTAACGCTTTCTTTTTAGTTCTGCTTAGCATTCTAGAAAAAGGAAAATACTGTCGTTTATTCAGACATTACTCTATTGAAAGGCATTTAGGTTCTTCACAATTTTTCAGTAGAGAAAAACACCACACAATGAATTTTTTCGTTCATGTCCCCTTGGCAAGTGTTCCTCTAGAGCTGATGTAAGGGAGTGGGGATTGCTGGAACATAGAGCCTGCACGTGTAGCTCTAATAAATACTGCCAGATTGTTTTTCCAAATGGCCCCATCAACTCAGACCTCCCTCTGCCAGTTGTGTCTGAAGACACTGCTTCCTCTACAGCCCTGCCATACCAGATGTGCTTAGGTTCTTAATATTTGCCTACCTGGTTATAAAAACCATATCTTGTTTTAATTTGCATTCCTCTCATTTTTATTAAAGATGTCCTTTATTTCCCATGTACCTGTTGTCCATTTATATTTTTTCTAATATGAATTGCATATTTTTACATTTAAACAAATATTTTTGTAGAGATGGGGTCTCGCCATGTTGCCCAGGCTGGTCTCAAACTCCTGGCCCCATGTAATCCTCCCACCTCGGTCTCTCAAAGTGTTGGAATTATAGGTGGGCACCACCATGCCCGGATCTTATTCTCACAGTTTGAACATTTTCCTAGTGTGTTATTTGACTTTTCCCGACCAACTTGTAAAATAATTGAAATAAGTTTTGGAGGAGAATCCTCTGTCAGACACATAAAGCAAATATTTTCCTCCAATTTAGTTTTTATTTTAAACAGTTTTGAGGGTAGTACCAAAGTTTTGCCTCTTGATGAACTTGACTTTACGAGCCTTCATGATTTTGGGGTTTTGTTTCTTACCTGCAAGCCTTTCCCTATCTCAATGTCATAAAGATAGCACTATATATTTTCCCTAGTAAACATATAGCTTCCCTTTTCATAGTTATACTTTGAAATGTTATCTTAAACATTTCAGATTAAAGTCACAAGAAACATAAACCCAACGCAAACACTTTCAAATATTCTTTATAAATTAATCAAATTCTTTTAAATATTTTACATTACAAGTATAAATTTTATGTATTAGTATCTGATTCTCTGAAGTACTTTGAATACTGACACGGGAGACATACAAATGAATAACAAATAACAAAAACAAATGTTACTAAACACAAAAATTCCCCTATCACTTATCTAGCTTATTAGAAAGACACATTGTGGTTTAGAGTCAAAATTTCAGAGCAAGAAGGGACATTTGATTGTCAGTTATTATCTTCTGGTTTCAAATTTCTAACGTTGGTCTCCCCAGATTAATAACAATCAATGCAACAATAATAATAATGAGAGAACTTTGAACACTTAATACAGGCTACACAGGTCCTTTACTAAACACCTACATAAGATCTCATTTATTCACAGCAATTTCTGAGGTTGACATTATCATTAGGCCCATTTTATAGATGAAGAAATTTAGGTACAGGAAGATATAATGACTTTCTCAAGTTTAGAAAACTTGTAGGTAGAGGAGGAAGAATAAAATCCCAAGCACAGTCTCCAAAGCCTGTGCTGGTAGCTACCATGAACATGGCCCCTTTGTATCATTTTATTTTTTTAACTTGTATTTTAGGTTTGGGGGTACCTGTGCAGGTTTGTTATACAGGTAAACTCGTGTCACAGGGATTTGTTGTACAGATTATTTCATCACCCAGGTACTAAGCCTAGTACTCAATAGTTGTTTTTTCTGCTCCTCTCCCTCCTCCCACCCTCCACCCTCAAGTAGATCCCAGTGTCTGCTGTTCTCTTCTTTGTGTCCATGAGTTCTCATCATTTAGCTCCCACTTATAAGAGAGAGCATGCAGTGTTTGTTTTTCTGTTCCTGCGTTAGTTTGCTGAAGTTAATGGCCTCCAGCTCCATCCATGTTCCCGCAGAAGATATGATCTCGTTCTTTTTCATGGCTGCATAGTATTCCATGGTGTATATGTACCACATTTGCTTTATACAATCTGTCACTGATGGGCACACATTAGGTTGATTCCATATCTTTGCTATTGTGAATAGCCAAAAGCAATGACAACAAAAGCAAAAATTGACAAATGGGATCTAATTAAACAAGAGCTTCTGCACAGCAAAAGAATATATCAACAGAGTAAACAATCTACAGAATGAGAGAAAATATTTGCAAACTATGCATCTGACAAAGGTCTAATATCCAGCATCTGTAAGGAACTTAAACAAATGTAAAAGAAAAAAAAACAATGCTTTGTATCCTTTTTAAAGGATGGAGAGTATTCACCCTCTTTGGACATCGCTTTCTTCATTTACTAAATGGGGAAACTGGAGGAGTTAGCTCAAGCTTGCTTTTTATATCTGAAGTCCAACGGCTCCTAAAAACATACCCAAGACTGGCCGGGCACGGTGGCTCACGCCTGTAATCCCAACAATTTAGGAGGCCGAGGCAGGTGGATCACCTGAGGTCAGGAGTTAGAGATCAGCCTGGCCAACATGGTGAAACTCCATCTCTACTAAAAATACAAAAATTAGCCAGGCATGATGGCAGGCGCCTGTAATCCCAGCTACTTGGGAGGCTGAGGCAAGAGAATCGCTTGAATCTGCAGGTGGACGTTCTGGTGAGCCGAGATCAGCCATCACACTCCAGCCTGGGGGACAAGAGCGAGACTTCGTTTCAAAAAAAAAAAAAAAAACCCAAGACTTACAAAAACAAAATTACCCCGAGTCAAACCAAATACCACTCTGACTAATCAACTGTTTCTAATTACTGCTTAACAATGTCACTCAGATACCCTCTTGTGCCAGTTGTGAGTAACCTGGAGGTTGCCAGGCCATAATAAGAATCCCGGATCCCAGCAGAACTGGAGATGCAGAGGCAGCTCACTAAGTGGCTGACGGGCTCCTCGCAGCCTCAGGAGGCTTCTTTGTTGTCTAATGCTGGTCTCCGGACAGGCCTGGACTCTGTGGAGGGCCCAGTAGCAATCATATGCAAAGATCACTCCTCTCTGTGACCAATCCCTGTTAGGTTGCACCAAGAATAAAGTCAACCCCAGAAGAGCCAGGCAATACGTACCCTCCCTTCTGGATGGTGCCGCGTCATCTACAAAGATCTCACACACTGTTCCGCCAGCTGACAGCCCATCCTCCCTTAGTGAATGCACAGAAAGACTCCACATTTTCGAACTTTTAGAAAGAAGACTTCACATAAGCTGTCAGAGATGACCTGTTTGGCTTATTTGACTTATTTCTGCCTTGTCTGGTTTTTCTGCAAAGCACTTAGGAAACATTTTAAACATAGCGCAGTATTTAAAAATAGGGTGTAAGTGGTTTTGAACATAGTCACAGATACACATCTGACCATGGACTTGCATGTGATACGTGCTTCATAAGTATTTGTTGAATGAATGTTAGTATCTGTTCTATTGGAAAGCATTTAAAATTATTGAAAAACTTGAATAACTAGTGCTAACATTTATTTGGATATTACTATACACTAGGATTTGTTAAATACTTTGCATATTATCTGTTTTTATCTTCCCAAAGGCCCTCTCATGTTGGCACTTTTGCCCTAACTTACAGATGAGAAAACTGAAGCACAGAAAATAAATAATTTGACAATTAGCTGGTAAATTGTTTCCATATGAAATACTTAAAAAAATTAAGCTAATGTTTTGATTTGACAGATAAACTAGAAAACACCAGCACTATTTAACAGTAATTAGATACGAATATTAATATTCATTAGATACCAATTAATTATTAATTCAATACTAATAATATTGTTGCAGTATGTAGATGACAAGCCTTGAGATAGTATTTGTAAATCTGTTCTCTCTTGCCCACACCCTATTTAGTCATAAATTTGTGAGATGACTCAACAGTTAGAGACACAATCTATGGTCATTGAAATAAACCTTGAACAGAGATTGAACTTATGTTCATTCACACCAGCCACCAGATCTAAATGGCCCCTAACTCTGGACCGAAGTAATGCAATGTACAGATTTTACAAATCATTCATTTACAAATCACTTAAATTACATTACAAATCATTTACAAATACATTTGGCATGTATTCTACGTGCTGAAGAGAGTTATTTAAATAGCAACAACAAGGACAACAACAACAACAAAAGTTGTAAGTGTCTCTAAGAGACAATACAAGTCCATCATGGAAATATGTTATCTATTTCAACTGAAATTCTAAAGAACATACGATTCTACCTGTAGCAGAAACTTGAAATGTTTTGTCGCCTGAATCTGTTGTGTCTTCCAAATGCTTCTTCTTTTTTTGAAGGATTTAGAAAAACGACAACAAAGGGTTCACAGGAATTTGTTTAGTTACAAAACAAAACAAACAAAACATTTTTCCAGGATTGGTCCCTGGGGTCCCTGTGTCAGTTCTGATCTTTATCTCCATTTAAAGGGCCTTCAGAGCACTGACCTGGGGGTACTAGGGTTGCTTAAGTATCAAAGAGGGTTGATGTACCATATACTAAATATTTTACAACTATTTCCAACAGAGCTTAATGCTTTCATCAAGCATTTAACTTCATTAGTTAAGTGAAGTTTTTAATAATTTGGGTCTGATTTAAAAAAAATAAATTTTAGAAATTATTTTTCTCCTCATAGACATATTTTTTGAAATTTGGTTTCTCATAATCAATATTATGAATTCAAAAGTTTCCAACCCTTGTAGATTAGAAATGATGCATATTATTTCATTAGAATAGTTAACATACTTTTAATGAAGACCAGATTGTTCAATCAATAATTATTATGATTGCACATGGTTGAGTATGAATAATAAGTAGACTGCATGAAGTCGTAAACTACTTCTGGCAAATAAAAATGTTGAAGGAACAGAAAATGTCTTGCTGTGTAATGAAAGTATAGAGATGTTCCGAAATAAATAAATTCAAATGTATTAAAGGGCACTACTGCTGAATCAAAACTGTTCTTAACATTTGACCCTACTGGGCAAAAATAAGCCTTGCTATTAGCAGAGAAAACTAAGCATGCCTGGCTAATTGACTGATCTCAGAGCTGGCTTTTCTTTCCATGACTGATCTCCAGGAATGTAAAGCCCTGATGTCTTTCACCTATCATGGTTTCCTTAGATCTCATTTGGCAACATTCATAGGTAGCTAGCTAAACATACTGTCTTTCAAGTAACTGAAAACAAATGAATGAAAGATGTCTTGTCTCAAGCAAATTCAACAACATAACAAATGTCTATTGGTCTTCGTGAAATATCTTTTTCAAGCCCACAGATATATAGACATCATAAAAGTTATCTAATTATTCACGTCTGCATTTCAGGACCAAAAGTAAGAATCAGACAAAGAAAAAAGTTACGTTTTATATGTAGGGACCTCTATTGCCTTATACTGCAATATGGGATCATCTGCTAAACAGAACAAATATTTATTTTTCTCTCTTACGCTTTTTATAGCTAAAATGTATAAACGCCTTCATTTCCAAGTTCCTGTCATCGCTTTCTTTCCCTCATAAAGTCTGCACATAAAAAGCAGTGCAATTTGCTGTCCCCTTCCTAGGAGAAATATGTTTAAATAATTATCTTCTTTATAAAATGTAATGGAAAATTGCTCCATTTCTTTTTGGAAATATTTCTGAAAAGATCAGACTCAGGAACTTCATAATATAATATGTTATGCTGTATTCCAACAATGTCAATACTCAAAACAATGTGAATCGCTGCTCCACTGTCTTCCCTCCAATCTTTTCTCATAAGACATGTAACAAAGACATTTTTCTGAATAATGATGAAGAACTGAAACCTAATATACTTGGAAGTTTACATGTGTTATGCTTGATTAGAACTGTCACTTTGGATTGCTCTTTTATCTCCTGCTATTTAAGTTAAATGTTTCTTCACTAAATATTTTTATGGCTCCTATTATATCAGTTGTGAGAAAGGGCAAAGAAAAAGGTTACAAAATCTATTATTTATACAAATATGCATGGCACTGGACATACTCGTTTTTGTAGAAAATTTAAATGGGATGTTTTATGAATACTAAATAGACTTTCACCTAGAAATGAATACAATACAACCCAATTATCATAAATCATTACTGAAAAAGCAGCATGGAACAGTAGAAAAAAAAAAAAAAGGACCGTGTTTTAACTCCCAGCCTCACTACTTAACTAGCTTTGCAACCCTGAGCAATTATCTCAACCACAATGTGAGAATGACTTCATATAATGCAATATCTGTTGTAAATGTTAAAATTAAAAATACTGCACTATATAAAATGTGAGTTTTTTTAATAAAACACTATCATACCAACAGAGCATGACCTATAATCTCAAAATTTAAATCTAATATCTTGTTAGTTTAAGTAAGAAAATTTACCTATCTTTGAAAAGTCATTTATCAATATCTCTTTGAGCCAGGAAAATTTCCTGTTTAATTTGAGGTGTCTTAATAATTACCAAAATCAGCTATATTTTTTTTCAGAATGAGATTTATGGTCTAGGTGGTGGGGAAATAAAACTTAAAACTTATTTAGGTCCTTAATTTCCACTTTTCCATCCTTACCTGAGCATGCAGTCCCCAGTAACAATCTAGTTCCCAGTAACAATCTAGCACCTCAAAAGAACAGTTGTTCAGTGTGCTGAAATAAACCCTTAATACAATATCTAATGTACACCTCAGGCATGATGGAATGAGACAGCCCTAGCTTCTCAGAGAACAAAAGCAAAGTAATTAGAAAACTTTTGTTAAATGTCATGGGGACTTTTAATTATGTCTGAAAGGCCAAATCTACAAAATGAACAAAACTTGATTCCTGACTTAGAGAAATGTCCGCCTGGTCCTTCTCCCAGATGATGGAATGTGGGTGGGTCATGGGTTTGAGTCCCAGGCTCTTCTCAGCTGCCTCTGTCTACTTTCTCAGAGCAGATCTAGTTGTCAGAGTCCGAGCTCTTGGAGGTGGTGTCCATTCAGAACTCGCTTGAGAATCAAGTGGAGGGGTGAACAGCTAAGCATTGCCTCCCCGGCTGATCCCAATACATCTTAGAGGATTGGCGTGAATCATACTAGAATGTTTAACCTTGCAGTCTTCCTTGAAGAGAAATCACTATGTTCTTCCATATTTATGTCTGATTATTATGCAAATATGAGCTTTAGCTGTGAGCCATGAATTCCCACTAGCTTCTTGCTGTGAGGTTCAGCTTAGTTTTACACAAAAATGAACGGGGACATGGCATTTCCCTCACAATAGCCCACTTTCTCTTCTTTCACAATCCCTGAACTCTCTCTCCTTCCACCAGAAAGGCAACTTCTTTTTTATTATTTCTGCTCTGTGACTCTCCCTAGGTGTGTCCTTAGCTATCAGGTGAGGAACCCGCCAGATTATCCTATTTCCAGCCCCTCTCACAGGGGCCACTGTGAGCTTGGCCTCAGAGCCTGATGGCCTCAGAATGTGCTCTTTTGTCTGTATCTTGTTCAAGCCTGGAGTCCGATTATGGAGGATGCTCCCAGAATGCTCTGATCATGAGGGTATAGAGTGTGGTTTTACATAATGTATTATGAAATCATGGATTTCTGGCTGGGCGTAGTGGCTCTGCCTGTAATCCCAGCACTTTGGGAGGCTGAGGCAGTAGGATTGCTTGCGGTCAGGAGTTCAAGAACAGCCTGGGCAACATAGCAAAATCCCATCTCTACAAAACATAAAATAAAAAATAAATAACGTATTTCTACTATGCCCCAGATTAGGCTTTTTCTTGGGAGAGGGAGGGATGAGGGTGGCACATACTGAACTTTGTGCAAAGCAAACTGCTGTTTTTTAGTACACTTAAATTTTCAATCCAAGTGCCAAGGCTTTTGCTTTCTTGTTAAATTGTCTTATTCATATTCAGCCCATCTCTCCACTTGGTTGAATCTTCTGGACACTGATCCTGACCTATTTGGGTCATCAACAAATGTTTCCTCTATTTTATTCAGTCCGCCAACTAAAAAGAAAGAATACTGTGGCCAGCTTGGCACTGGGTCACTCGTGATTGCTTCCACCCTCCTCTGCATTACTTCCCTTTCCTCCTTACTTTTGTGTCCTGTGACTGCTTCACTCTCCCGTAAGTTATTAACACATTAGAAAAGTGACAGTGATGGTTTCTGGAGTCCACAGCCCGTGCTCCTTTCCCTGTAGTGCTCTGACCCACTGATTGCTCTTTCCACTTGACGAGCCCACCGTACTAATCATCCTTAAATCCAACCATAATATTATTGCGGCTTCGTCAGATGCCTTGCTAAATCCCAAAATGTGGTTTATTCCCTTGGTCTCAATGCCCTTTCACGTTCCCTACTATTTGCTTATGTGTTATGCTGTTGCATCACACCATCCTGGCTTCAAATCCCAGCATCTGCATGGCAAGGTTTCATCACATCTGTGAGTTGCAGCCTCTCCACCTATAAAACGAAGAGATAATCCTTCCTGCTTGGAATGATTACATAAGATTATAGATGGCACGCCGTAGGGATAAATACGGATTCTCCTCCACAGTGCTTCTGTCTGTTCTGTCTCATCCACTGTCTCTGCTTAACCAAGTCCCTTCAAGGCCATATTTAAATGTCTCATTCTCTTTGAAGCACTCCCTCATCAACTCAGCCAGGAATTCTCCTTCATTCGCACTCCTGCTGGACTCGGTGGTACCTTCTTTTGCCATTCAAGATACCTTGCATCTTGCTTACTTACTCTTCTACTAGAACTGAAGCTCCTGAAGGACAGGCATCATTTAATTTGCATCAAATTTGCATTCCCAAAGTTTTTTTTTTCTTTTTGAGATAGAGTCTCACTCTGTCGCCCAGGCTGGAGTGCAGCGGCATGATCTCAGCTCACTGCAAGCTCTGCCTCCCAGGTTCATGCCATTCTCCTGCCTCAGCCTCCCAAGTAGCTGGGACTACAGGTGCCCACCACCACCCCCGGCTACTTTTTTTGTATTTGTAGTAGAGACAGGGTTTCGCTGTGTTAGCCAGGATGGTCTCTATCTCCTGACCTCATGATCTGCCCACCTTGGCCTCCCGAAGTGCTGGGATTACAGGTCCCAAAGTGCTTTCTACACTATTGGTGCTAAATAAATATTATCGAATGTCTGAGTGAATCCTCTCTTCCACTTAGACTGGTCCCTGGCACACATTTGTCTTAGACTTCATGACTACTATTTTTGTTCTACTCCTTAGCATCATGTATATTCTAAAGTCCCAAATCCCATACCTCCTTCAAAATACAGCAATCCCCTGTATACACAAATCATTCTTTAACTTCTTAAGACAATCACTTTCTTAACTCTCATACATTTTTAAAGTCTGTGGTCTCTATGATGTGGTCTATTGTCATGTCCTAGTTTACCTGATCTGTCTTAAGCAGGCATTCTCCTCTGGGGTAGAAACTGTACCTTCTAATTTCTTTTGGAGTTGGTTGGTACTTAAATTATTACTGGATTTTGGATGTCTGGGCGTTTTCTTCAAACCCAAGCCAGATTCAGAAGACAGTGAACACCTAGGAGCAGATAATGTCTCTTATGCCTACAGTGCCTTCCAGAGAACCTTTATAAGCAAGGTTCCAGATAAACCTGTGTGTGCAAAGACTAGGAATCCAATATATTTAAGTAAATGCATCATGACTTTCAGATTACAGATGTTCTTTGATTTACCATGGGGTTACATCCCAATGAATCTATTGTAAATTGAAAATATCCTAAATAAAAAATGCATTTACCGGGCACAGTGGCTCATGCCTGTAATCTCAGCACTTTGGGAGGCCGAGGCAGGCGGATCACTTGAGGTCAGGAGTTCAAGATTGGCCTGGCCAACACAGTGAAACCCCATCTCTACTAAAAATACAAAAATTAGCCAGTGTGGTGGTGTGTGCCTGCAATTCCAGCTATTCGGGTGGTTGAGGCAGGAGAATCACTTGAACCTGGGAGGCAGAGGTTGCACTGAGCTGAGATTGCGCCACTGCACTACAGCCTGGGCAACAGAGCAAGACTGTTTCAACAACAACAACGACAAAAAAGCATTTAATATATCTAACCTACTGAACAACATAGCTTAGCCTACCCTACTTTAAACGTGCTCACTTACATTAGCCTACAGTTGGACAACATCATCTAACAATTATTTATTTAAAAATAAATAAAGTCTAGAATATCTCGTATAATGTATTGAATACAGTGCACTGTAGTGTGTTTGTGGTTACAATCACGTAGCTGGCTGGGAGCTTTGGCTCCTGCTGCTGCCCAGCATCATAAGAGATCAAACCCTATATTGCTAGCACAGAAAGATATCAAAATTCAGAGTATGGTTTCTACTGAATGCTTATCATTTTCACATCAGTGTAAAGTTGAAAAAATCATTAAATTGAACCATAGTAAGTTGTGAACAGTCTGTATATAATTTGTATAGAAAAACATTTTGCTATTCTTGCTTTAAACCTTTTCTCCTTTTTTTCCCCACTTGGTAATGAGAGCAGGGAGTTATTGCCACTAAAATATATTATATAAAATATTATATATATACATATATACATGTATATGTATATAATATATACATATACATGTATATATAATTATATAATATATATGTATATAATATATGTATATATGTATATATGTATATAATATATGTATATATGTATATATACACGTATATCTGTATATATAATATATATGTATATAATATATGTATATATGTATATATGTATATATACACGTATATCTATATATAATATAGATATACACGTATATCTGTATATATAATATAGATATACACGTATATATGTATATATAATATACATATATACGTGTATGTGTATATATGTATATATACACATATATATGTATATATACACATATGTATATGTATATATAATATATACATATATACATGTACATGTATATATAATATATACATATATACATGTACATGTATATATAATATATACATATATACATGTACATGTATATATAATATACGCAGATATACATGTACATGTGTATATATTATATACGCACATCTATACATGTACATGTGTATATATTATATACGCACATCTATACATGTACATGTGTACATATTATATACGCACATCTATACATGTACATGTGTATATATTATATACGCACATCTACACATGTACATGTATATATTATACACGCACATATACACATGTATATATGTATATATATTATGCATATATGTATATATGTATATATATTATACACATATATGTATATATGTATATATAACATATATATGTATATGTATATATAACATGTATATATACATGTAATATAACATGTATATATACATGTAATATAACGTATATATAACATGCATGTAATATATACATATATTATATATATACAAATATATATTACAAAATACATATTTTGAATATTAAGTAGGAAATTTAGAATTTTAAGTCATGGGAAGTCACTTTGAGAGAAGATTCTTAAGGTGATATACATGCTGTATTTAGAATTTATAGATGGTTTTGAAACAAAATTAATGAAAATCATCTTTCTGGTATTATTTGAAGTTGACTGCAAAATGTAAGATGAAAAACAGAAAAGTCAAAAAGAACCCTGATGTTATAATTTGAACTGAGCATGAATCAAGATCTATTAACTATCTTGACAGTCTTCCAACAAAAATAATGATTATTTTCCATAATCCTTATTAACTGCTATCATTTAAAATTCAGGCCAGGGATTAATTAGTAAGAAACGTGTTACTTATACTGTTTCTGTGAAAGGAAAATCAGGTCTATATTATGAAAAATATAACTGAGAAACAAAATTTGTACATTCAATACCATCGGTTAATTATCATTTCGAAAGAAATAATTATCATTTTGGCTTAAAGTTTAGGGAATGAAAATAAGTTATTGGAACGCCCTCGATTTATGTTATAATACATTTTCATAAGCCAGATATAATAATCTTTAACTAGAAAAACGACCTGTGGTTCTTCAGCTGTTTTTTCCAGTACTTCTGATGATGGCATTGCAGTGGATTCACACAAGGTATTGAAATTGTTACACATTAAAACTTTCACCTGTTTTGTCAATAAATTATCTTACTATGTCATTGCACCCTAGTTCTCTACAGGCCTGGGTCTCCACACACGACAGTGCAACAGAATAAAAGTCAAATGTAGTCCCATTAGTTCTCCGAATTACATTATTTGGAAGTCGTTTATATTTGGGAGTATCAAGTGGACACTGCTCCTTGGGAAAAGACGACTTCGGAGAAATAGCACAAAATTATTGTTCCCTTGTCTATTTTGTGCATGTAATTTCAAAATATAATGGCTTAGACTTTGGTAATATTTTTTATAGAGCTGCATATTTCAAATACTAGCAAAATACTTGAAAGGCTACAATAAAGCTTGAAAGTTGCCAATAGTAAAGGTATTTGCACGATGCATTGAATTTTGAAAAGCCCAAAATAAGAATCTTGAAAAGTACAAAATAAGAGTAAGGTACATTACAGCATTATGAAAATTTCAAGGGAACATCCACTCACATCGTAACACTTGTCTTTAAGTATAGGAATTTTTTAAATTAAGAAAATTCTATAGAAACTAAAAAACCTCAATGCTAAAAACTCCAAGCATTATTTTTGAATTTAGAGAAGTCATCTGTACTTAATTATGGAGTTAAGAATATGCTTATTATACTGCTTTAAAATTTTAGGCAATAAAAAGTTCATGACACAGTTAAAACATTAATTTTGAGAAACTGGACAGAAAACAGACCTCATTTTCAACAGCTATTATTGATAGGGCAACGCAATCCCTAGAGCAGATATTTCCAGAATTCTTTCCAAAGCTATCTCAGAATATAAAAATGTAGTTTTATTGTTTTTGAGAGAATTTTGTTACTTAATCTATGGAAATATGTAAATGTAAATTGAAGCATTCATTTAAAGCATCACAGATCCACCAGTGCGTGCTGGGACTGCAGCACACCTTGGAGATCCTAATTGAGATAAGGATACGCAAGTTGAAATGCCAGGTCTTTGCAAAGTCACAGACGTGAAGCTGGGTTGGCTAGCAGCAGGTCTCCAAACCCCTTAGTAGATAGGCTGTCCCCTACCTCTCACCTCGCAAACCATGCTGTTGTCTTACTTATTTCATGTCTCTGCAATCTTTGTTAAGCAAGCCTTTAAAAATGTGAATACATTGACTTAATGATGTGCTAAGTATTTAAATTCCAACATTAAAATACTTTTCTCATAAACCTAGCATCTATAATCATTAATAATGCAAATCACTGCACTGGTAATTGGGGGCTCCCCATGCCGCCATATTTTCCTGAATAAGGATGGTTCAACCTTCCAGGACAGGAAATAGTAATGTCTAAAGAGAGTCACTTAAGTAATTTAGAAGTCTGAATTTGGCTCTTCGGTAATCTTGGACACTCTGTAGTTCAGTGCTGGACAGAGCTCTGTGAGTTTAACAGCATCAAGGGAAAGAAGAGCCCATAGCCCACGAATGGATCTGGTGTTGGAGCCTGGAAATGAGGTTATACGGGTCTCATCTGAGCCAAATTCTAAGGACAATGGGGTTTAACTCATGTTTCCCAGAAATTTCCATACCCTCATTTAGGAACGTTGCCCATTTTAGGCTATATGCTTTATGTATATACAGAAAGTATTCTTATATATTTAGTCTTCTAATAATAACTATGAAATGACTTCTCACAAATAAGAAAAATAGGTCAATCAGTTGTATGGATTTCAGTTACAGTTTCACATGGTAGAAAGGCGAGTAAAGTCTCTGTTTATAAAAAAAATGAAGGGTTGAGGGGAATGTGGAAAGAATGGAACCCAGGGCTATTTTCCAAATGCAGATCACTGATCACTGGATGATATAAAGAAGGCACAACTGAAGCAATGGTAAAGTCAGTAAACAATATTTTACTGAAACATTTCATAACACAGAAAATCTGTCTGAAGTGTAAAGTTACTGTCTTACACAAGGAGGACAGACCCATTTTCAAAGACTAATATGAATACAATAAATATGGAGTTTACATACTAATTTATACACAGAAACTCTGCCCCATAGCCATAAAATTTATATTCAACAGTGGAACATATAATTTAATCATTTGATTTATTTGACAGGTTTTCCTTACTAAACACAAATAACTACCTGGTTTTCATATACATATATAATATATTTTTATGTATATAGATATTCAACAATCTGTACAGTTTCTAAACATAAAGCTCCTAAAAGGCACAATTGTCTATACAACATGTACAAAAATGGCTGGAGCTGACACAAAACAACAATTATTGGTCAAAAGTTCATGATTGCACAAAGATTAGTCATGAGTTTATGTCAGAAAAATGTGCTTTAAGGAAAGGAGGGTTTTCAAAGAAACCTTTAAGTGTTATATAAAAAAAAAGCAAATAAAAAATAAAATCCATCAGGTTGCTATCACAAGCCTGTCCTCGTCATCATCGCTGCTCACGTCGCTGAAGTGCACAGTGGGCTGCCTCCGCGGTAGTGCTGTGGGCCTGGGAACCTGTCTGTCTGGAGAGAGAGTCTGCTGGCCTGAGGGCTTTGTAAAAACTTCAGAATGTGCCTTCAGCAGAGGTTGTGACGTGGACGCTGGTTGGCCCTGTATGGAAGTGAGTTCAGGCTTGGGCTTCACGTGATTTGCCGAGGCAGCCTTCTCTGTGTCCATTTTACTCAGGCCATCAAGCCTTGCATGGTCACCTGCAGGGGCAGGTGGATTCAGAACTTTTTTTGCATTTTCCCGCTGGACTGTAGGTAACCCCTGAGGAGACTCGGTCCTGCTGACCTGGTTTGCGCTGGCTACAGAAGTCTGCTTGGGTTGTGTCTCGCATGCTTTGCTTTGGGAAGCTGGCATTTCTGGAGCTCCCTGTGCATCAACGGCTACTTGACTGACTGAGGGGATTAAGGTGGGCAATGCTATGTTCAAGATCTGGAGACCTGGAATGTGTGCCTGAGGGGCGGGGCTGCTTTGTGATGAAGGGTTTGCAGTCAGAACCTGCAGTCCGACAGCATTCAGAGCCAGTCCTGGTGGATGGACTTGTGGGGCCATATTTGTATTGGCTAGGCCTACAATATTGACGGTTTCCATGCTTAACGAGGGGAGTGACTGCAAGCCTGGGGTACTTAGGTTCTGAAGGCCTGGCACGCGGATTTGGCCGATAGGAATACATGGCACAACACTGCTTAATTCAGCCACTCCAGCAGGGTTTGTAGTGCCAGACACTTCTGTGACCGTATTCCTATGAGTACCCAAAGTTCTGTGAACGACACTGACAGCAGGGATCGTGAGCTGCACTGGTCCAGCCTGAAGGGGCACAAACGTGGAGTATGTGAGGCCAGCAGGTACCACATGGATCCCCCCAACTGGAACCATATTATAAGGTGTCCTCGATTGCTGCTGGGAATGCAAAGGAAGGTGGCTAAACAAATGAGTGTGGGGAGAAGGCAAGCCTGGAGTCGGCTGTAGAGTTATTTGCTGCTTCTGTTCTTGAGGGTCAGGATGTGGTGAGGCCACAGAAGGCATCCCCGCTGCTGTCTGGGGGCTGTGCTCAGCTGCAGCAGGAGGAAGTCTTACAGATGATGGGCTCTAAATGACAAGAGAGAGCAATCCTTTTATGACAGGTCTTTTGTAATCACTGAGATATAAAGCTAGTGCTAAATCTATTTCTTCACAATGAGATAAAAGTAAGTATATTTGCATTGATAAAAATGATGTTTGCTGCAATGAAATTATTTTTCGATTTTTAAAAATAAGCTTCCAATTAAACAATTATTACATCTTTAATTTCGTTTCTGGTAGAAATAATGGCAATACATCTTGTATAGTCTTTTGCATGTCTGAAGCAAATTTCCTGGATTTTGTCATATTGTACACAGAGAATAACTCTGAGAAGTGGACACAGCTATATTCTTAAGCTGCTATTTTTGTTATTATTTCTGTTTCTGGCACTACCAGCTCCACCTTATTTTAGAGATTAAGAGTTACTGAGAAATTGAGATTCAAGTTGGCTATGTCAACTCAATGGGGAAAAATGAACTAAAGAATTATTTGTGAAGAGATGTTACTATGAAAAAGTTCTCTGGTTGTTTGTCTATCACTTGCAAGTTTATGAAATGTCTACTGAAAACCAGATTTCCAGGCACTGGTAAGTGTCTGAGAGGTTTTGGGATAGAGACGCTTACAGCACAATCTGCCACAATTAGGCATAAATCCTATTGCAATATTCAATACATACTAGAGGTAAGAGAACTGTCAATGAGGGAAGAATGTATTCCTCCCAGAATTAATCATTTGTCACAAAACAGCCAGAGGTAGAGCAGGGACTCACTCACAGCACATGGAGCGTGACTTTTCAGAGGCCTGTGCCTGCCTTGAGATAGTTCTTGGGCAGAAAGCTCTCCCAAGCTGCTGTAGCAATGTGATAATTCAAGCAAAGTGAACTTCTTGATGTGTTTTCGGGTCACATTAACTTTGCCATAGAAACTGGTAGCTGTCTTGCCAATGGGGGCAAAGTGCAAAATGTTTGGGTAAGTCAGTGAAAATCCATCATCACATCAGCACCAGTGGAGAAACTGCTCAGAAGGGGCCAGCAGATAAATCAGTTGCGGGACTTGTGTTCGCCACTGTCACGTTTTTTTTTTTTTTTAATTTCAAAAATTTTTCAAAAAGCAAATAAAAATAAATGGGTGTATTTTTCAAGAACCATTTGGTTCTTTCATAGATTTACAATAAAATATCTGAACTGCTTAAGATACTCAACAAGACTCCAAAGGGCAAAAATACCCTCTACCCTTAAATACAAGAAAAAAATAAAGCTATACAAACTGATTTGGCCTAAAAAAATCACTTAAGTGCATTATTTTCTTAAGCCATTAAGTTCTCCATATTTAATAGGTTAAAACGAAAAAAGAAATAAAAGAACAACTGCCAATCATTTACCTGTGTTATAGCAACAGCTTTTCCTGCCATAGAACTTCTCAGAATTTCTTCTGACTCAGGGTAGTCCACAGACATCTGATGACACGGGGACCTGGAAGTGTCTACAGACGGAATTGTGTCGTTTTCATCTCTCGCAGCACGCTGCCTGGCCTTCCCCGGAGAGAGTGTCTTCCTATTGTAGTCAGACTGTGCTGTGCTCAGGACAGTCATTCTGGTGAGCAGCGCCCTGGGCAGAACGTCCATTGGGTCCGTGTGTACCCCAGAAAAGCAATCGGTGATCCTGACATCCTCGTCAGTACTCACAGGGTCCTGAAGGCTACTTCTAGATGGAAGGTGCTGCGGGCTAGCTGTGACTGAGGGTGTGGCTGACAGGACTGATTCAGCCTGGCTGTCCTCATCATCGTCTTCATTTTCATTGTCATCCTCATCTGGGCCATCAGATTCTTCAAGATCATATCCAGATCGCTCATAACTGAATCTCTGTTTTTCATCTAATAAAAACAACCAAGAGGTATGTGATGGAATGCTTTCCAAGTGCACAAGTGCTATTTTAAAAATTTTTTATACGTTTGGCAACTCTGCAAGGATTATAAAAGACAAGGACCCTGCCCACAACGAGCCTCCGCCCTGGCTGAGAAGGCCCTGGGGAAGAATAAGACAGTTGGCCATCAGGATTCAGAGGAGGGCAGCTCTGCGGGAGGGGCCGGGGTCAGGGACGAGGAATGGGAAATGACTCTCAGAAGGGGAATGAGGCAGGTGGAGGGTAATCAAGAAACAAGGAAATGAAGGCCTCTAAGATTGCACTTGAAAATCTTTAAAACACAACTGAACTACATATAAAATTAATAAAGAGTTCAACGCAACTCTTTTCCTGAGCTTTTTCCCTATTTTGTATCTTCCTTTTACTGAACAAATTAAATCAAACACAAAAAACTGATGGCTGTTGGTATCTGTGAGCAACATACATTTTCTTTAGATTTGAATAGTATTATAGATGAGGAAAGAAAAGGACTTTTATCTGAGGAATGTGGGCCCTTTCAAATTACTAGGCCCCAAAGAGGCATTAAGATGAGACAGCAATCACATCCTACTCCACACTTTACTGAAGCTGCTTCCCATTGCCACAGGTAGCTGTGAATTAACCTAGTAATGTGGCACTGGACACTATATCCCACATTCTATAGCTTAACCGTGGACAGGCAGTCACTAATCACTGTTACTTCTGTATATCCATGAGAATTCCTGACAGAACTGTCTAACAGTCTACTCGGTAACACCGGCCCCCCTCCCCTGCCTCCTGTTTTTTTGTTTTTGTTTTTTTCTTTTTGCCTTTAAAAATCTGCCTGTAACAAAGGCCAAGCAAGCAGTTTGGGTGAGTCATCTGGGCAGCTGTCCTTATTCTGGCTCAAGTCAACTCTTTCAACCACACTTTGTGCTTTAGCTTCTTCTTTTGGTTGACACAGGCATGTTTCAATGGTCCTCCGTGTCGTCATATTCACCTAATGTGTAAGCCTTCTTATTTACTCAGAGAGATGCTACAATTTCCTGTCAATTTCTTCTGTGATATGATTCAACCCATTCCTCATAGAAAGGGGGATATTATCTAAAAGTCGTTAGTATCAGCCTCTTAACATCATGTGAAACTGAGTTTAACAAGGAATCTTCAAGATGATCCAGGAAATAGTTTCAAAAATCTCATAAGCTCATGTGGAACTTTTAAACTCTTCACATTTTCAAAATCTTGCAAATTAGAGGCTCTTTCCCACTGAAAGCTTAATAAAATTTAGTTATGGGGGAGGAATGTCACTGAGATATAATAAAGATGACATTAGACAATGTACAGTTTAGCTGTGATACATTCTGCACTTACAGGTATTTTTTTGAAAAGAGACAAACATGTAAACAGAGCAACAAGCAATAGGCTGCCTTTCCCAAATGGCCTAGATATTAATTTTTTACTTTTTCTTTGTATATGACAAAAATGAGTTTAGAGAAAAGCCTTAGAAGACCCATAGAAAAGATTGGAGGGTGATTATTTCTAGGGGATGAAAAGAACTTGACATTTTACATTATTTATCACAAACGTGTGCTACTTTTATAATTAAAAAACTCTAAGATGAAACATGCATTTAGGTTCTGTTAGCATGTGATTTCATAAGGCTTTTGCTTTTAGGGTTCTACTATTATGCTGTAAAATAAGTAATGAAATAAAATAATACCAAAGTATTGACTGGCTCTAGGGGCCTATGCTGGAGACAGAATGTGTGATTTCTGGGTAAATACCCAGACTCCTGCACCTCAGCTACTTCTCTACCTTGCCTATTTTAAAAATTTTTTATAGGTTTGGCAACTCTGCGAGGATTATAAAAGACAAGGACCCTGCCCACAACGAGCCTCCGCCCTGGCTGAGGAGAAGGCCCTGGGGAAGAATAAGACAGTTGGCCATCAGGATTGTTTGGCATTGTAAAATTCGAGTCATCCTCAATTTGACTTGAATTTGCCACATCAGTAGCAAATTAGGTATTTTTTTTTTTTGGAGACGCATCTTCTTTAAAGAAGTAAAATTTGTAAAAAGACTAAAGAGAACTGAATGACTGGGAGAATAAGTTACTGGAGAGAAAGGATGATTTCATTCAAGGCTGCTCTTGCTGTAAAGTCTAACAAGGATGGGACCTGTTTACGTTAAACACACACACAAGCGTGCACGTGCACGCGCGCGCGCACACACACACACACACGTACAGCCTAACTTTAAACTTATTAACTTTTTCCAAACCCATCAATAAGCCGAGGTCCCAGATAATCAACAGCCCAAAATCTAAGGAGACACAAGCTTGTGTCACCGAGGGCAGACACAACAGAACCCCAGTCAGGGGAGTCCCGCTCAAGTATCTGGTTAGAGTCAAGAGTGGGCTGCCAAGATTGTGTGAAACCTCTGAGGGTTACATTCTCACACAGGATCTATGCCATGACCATCACCCAGGTGCTCACAGGAGGGTGGGGTAAGAAGTGTCCGCTGTGTTCCAGATATGGGGGAGAGAAGCAGTAACTCTAGAGGAGTGGCAAGGAACTACACCTGGATCCATCTCCCCTGTCTCCACCAGGAAAACAAAAGACCTATCCTGTGAGGAGAAGGGCGGCACGCACTGTTGTCCTTAGGACACTGCTGAAAACTCACTGCAGTGTGGAAAGGGAACAGGAAAAACATACACATACAACCTGTCTCCTTGGGGAGGGACAGGATTACACAGAAACTCCCACAACACTTGGGGGAGAGGGAGGAGAACTGAGAAGGTCACAGCCCAGAAACCTAAGAAAATGGTGCAGGTACGAGACTGTAACTCAATCGGAACAGAGACAGCACCCCATCCTCCTCCTTGCCCCACAATGTCAAGCTAAGGAGCTTAGCATTACAGGTAACAAAACAGTGCTTGGAGAGAAACAGGAGAACAAGAATGTGCAGAGAGACCCTTTCTGAGGCATAGTGCAAAAGGAAGACCTAAAACTAGAACTGAACAGGTGATGTTCTTGTGATCCAACCCCCAGCCAAAACACAAGGTATCTCTACAGGAACATGAAGCCTTTCCTGCAGTGAGGATAGCTGCCAACAAATCTCTCAAACCTAGCAAACTCCTAACTAGATAAACTCTAACTCCCACACTAAAGGCCTCTAGGAAGGAGAGGCATGCACATTTCTAGGATACAAACAATTTCCATGGGTCTCTACTGTCTTACACAAGATGTACAGCTTTCAACACAAAATTACAAGGCATACAAGAAGGCAAGAAAAAAACATACTTCAGAGAGACAAAGCAATAATCAGAACCACAGTCAGATATGACACCTATGTTAGAAATGACTGAGAATTTAAAATAACTATGGTTCATATTTTGAAGGCTCTAAAGGGAAAGGTAGACAATAACAGATGGGACTTTCAGCTGAGTGCTGACAACTATTAAAAAGAATCCAATGAAAATGGTGCAAATAAAAAATATGGTAACAATATCAAGAAAACTGTTAAATCCAGAATTCTATGCCCATTGAAAATAATTTTCAAAGATGAAAGAGAAATACAGACTTTCTTAGAAAAACAAAAACTGAGGGGATTCATTGCCAGCTGCTTGACCTAGTGGACAATAAATGTTAAACGGAAGTTCCTCAGGCAGAAGGAACACAACATCAGATGGAGGCCCGGATCTACACAAACAAACAAAGAGCAGTGAAAATAGAATAAATGGGGACACAATTTTTTTTCTTATTTTTTAATTGCTCTAAAAGATACCTGAATGTGTAAAACAATGTACTGTGCGTTCACAGTAGATGTAAATGTAAAAAGGTATGGCCACAATAGCATAAAGCACGGAAAGAAGGAGCTGTGTATAAACTGCAGTAAAGTCTATAGGCTCCATGTAAAGCAATGTAATATTATCTGAAGGTAGATAAATACAATTTTTTAAAAGTATAAATAATAAGTCAGTAGAGGAAATAGAACAGAATCATAAAAAACACTCAGTTAATACTAGAGAAGGCATCAAAAGAAAACTGAAACCCAAAAATGAAACAAACAGAAAACGGTTGCCAATATGGTACATTTTAATCCAATTACACAAATAATAACATTAAAAGGGGTGGTCTAACACATAAATTAAAAGACAGAAATGACTAGGACTGAATAAAATGCAAGTCCCATGTATATACTGTATATAAGAAACGCATTTTAAATATTGATATAAAGACATAAGTAGGCTGAAAATAAAAGTTTGGGGAAAGATATACCATAAATCAATAACTAAAATACAGCTGCAGAAACTATACTAATATCAGACGAAGTGGACTTCAGAGCAAAGAATATTATGAAGGATAAACAGGAGCATTACATAATGATATAGGTCATCCCATGAACATAACAATCCTAAGTGTGTACGCAATAGAGCTTCGAAATAAAGGAGCGGAAACTGAAAAAAATAAATCCATAATCAGAGCTGAAGACTTCAATAATCCACTCTCGGTAATTAATGGGACACATAAATAGAAAATCAGGAAGAACATAAAAGACCCGCAAAACACTATCAAGACCTAATAGACATTTATAGAAATGTTCCACTCAACAGCAGAACATACTTTTTATATAAGGGTATGTGGAACATTCACCAGTACATACCATATTCTGAGCTACAAAATAAACCTCAACTATTTAAAATCAGTAGAAACCATACAGAGTGTGTTTTTACATGAAAACAGAATTAAACCAGAAATCAATTAATTGGAGGATATCTGAAAAACCATCAAATTATTGCAGAATTAAAGAACACATGCATGATACTGGTACAAGAACAGACACATAGATCAACGGAACAAAATAGAGAACTCAGAAATAAGACTGCACACCAGCAACCATCTGATCTTCAACAAACAAAAAGAAGTGATGGGGGGAAAGAGTCCCTATTTAATAAACGATGCTGGGAAAACTGGCTAGCCATATGCAGAAAACTGAAACTGGACCCCTTCTTTACAATATATATAAAAATTAACTCAAGATGGATTAAAGACTTAAATGTAAAATGAAAAACTATGAAAACCCTAGAAGAAAATCTAGGCAATATCATTCAGGATACAGTCACGGGCAAAGATTTTATGACGAAAACACCAAAAGGAAAAATTGACAAATGGGGTCTAATTAAACTGCAGAGCTTCTGCACAACAAAAGGAACTATCATCAGAGTGAACACACAACCTACAGAATGGGAGAAAATTTTCACAATCTATCCATCTGACAAAGGTCTAATGTCCAGAGTCTACAAGGAACTTAAACAAATTTATAAGAAAAAAAGTAACCCGATTAAAAAGCAGGCAAAGGACATGAATAGGCACTTCTCAAAAGAACACATACATGCAGCCAACAACATGAAGAAAAGCTCAACACCACTGATCATTAGAGAAATGCAAATCAAAACCACAATGAGATACCATCTCAGGCCAGTCAGAACGGCTATTATTAAAAAGTTAAAAAATAACAGATGCTGGAGAGGTTGCAGAGAAAAAGGAATGCTTTGACACTGCTAGTGGGAGTGTAAATTAGCTCAACCATTGTGGAAGACAGTGTGGTGATTCCTCAAAGACCTAGACCTCTGCAGAAATACCATCTGACCCAGCAATCACATTACTGGGTATATACCCAAAGGAACAGAAATCATTTTACTATAAAGATAACATGCATGCATATGTTCATTCGTAATAGCAAAGACATGGAATCAACCTGAATGCCCATCAATGATAGACTGGATAAGGAAAACGTGGTGCATGTACACCATAGAATACTCTGCAGTCATCAAAAAGAATGAGATCATGTCCTTTGCAGGGACATAGATGGATTTGGAAGCCATAATCCTCAGCAAACTAATGCAGGAAGAGAAAACCAAATACCGCATGTTTTCACTTATAAGTGGGAGCTGAATGACGAAAACACGAGGACACATTGGGGGGAACAATACTCACTGGGGCCTGTCTGTTGGGGGGTGATAGGGGTGTGGGGGAAGAACATCAGGAAGAAATGCTGGGCTTAATACTGAGATGATGAGATGGTTTGTGCAGCAAGCCACCATGGCACACGTTTACCTGTGCGACAAACCTGCACACCCTGCACATGTACCCCTGAACTTAGAAGTTGAAGAAAAAAAAGAACACATCTCTAAATATTCATTGGGTTAATGAGGAAGTCTCAAAACATGTCAAATATTTTCAACTGGATGAAAATTAAAACACAACATTCGAATTTTGTGGGATGTAACTAATGCAGTGGTCAGTGGGAAATTTATCGTATTCAAAACTTTCATTAGAAAAGAAGGTTCTCGGATAAATCTAAATTTTCAGTTTAAGAAATCAGAAAAAGAAGATCAAACTAAACTCAAAGCAAGGAGAGGGAAAAAATAATCAAAATAAGAACAGAAATGATGACATTGAAAAAAGAAAAATAGAGAAAGGCAAGGAAACCAAAAGCTGGGTTCTTAGAAAAATTCTCTGGTAACACTAGCCAAGAAAGAGAGAGAGAAGATACAAATTACCAACATTAGAAAAGAAAGGTGGGATAAACACACAATTTTTAAAAAATTTATTATACTTTAAGTTCAGGGATACATGTGGCAAATGTGCAGGTTTGTTACATACATGTGCCATGGAGGTATACATGTGCCAGGGAGGTTTGCTGCACCCATCAACCCGTCTTCTAGGTTTCAAGCCCCGTATGCATTAGGTATTTGTCCTAATGCTCTCCCTCCCCTTGTCCCCCACCCCCAACAGACCCTGGTGTGTGATGTTCCCCTCCTTGTGTCCATGTGATGAACATACAATTCTATGCATTTGTCAGAAACCACGTACTATACACCATAAAGTAAATTCTATTGTAAGTAAATAAAAACGGAATCAACTAGGATGTGAGGTGAACCTAAGAGGAATGCAAGCTGAGACAGACGGCTCTGACTGCAGCTGCATGGATGGCACAGCCACGCTAAGGGCATGGAAAGTAAGGTCCTGTCCTAGATAACCTTGGCAAAGAGGGTTTTGACTGGAGACTGTGAAGGCTAGAGACAAGAATGGCACACGCTGCACGTAATTTTAAATCTGTTTCTTACAGGAGTAAAGGTAAGGATTTCTGAAACTAGTTTATTTATATACTAGAACTGAGCAAATATGTAAACATACTGTAGGTGCGAACCAGGTTTCTCACTGTGGGTGAAGAAGAGAAGGAAATGGAGACGACTAGAATAAATTCAGTGGTGCTGGACTGGAAGTTATCAGTATGGATTCATATCTTCACTTGTATATATGGAATACACATGTACACTGCAACCTCCGCCTCCCAGCTTCAACTGATTCTCTTGCCTCAGCCTCCTGAGTAGCTGGGATCACAGGCATCCGCCACCATGCCTGGCTAATTTTTGCACTTTTAGTAGAGACGGGGTTTCACCATGTTGGTCAGGCGGGTCTTGAACACCTGACCTCAAGTGATCTACCTGCCTTGGCCTCCCAAAGTGCTGGGATTACAGGCGTGAGCCACTGCACCCAGCCCGCTCTAGGGTCTTTTACTCTACTGATACAGCTATTCTCTCACATAAGCTTGCACAACAAGCACCTCCCTATTAGCCCCATAGTCAAATCAAGACTTCTCACTAGTACCTTCTGTCTTCTGATTGTTTAATAGGACACTATCAATTCTTGAAATCAATTTCAACACTTCTACTGGTTAACTTGGAAGCACAGGAAATTTCACCCCAATTCACTCTAACCTAGATACACATTTTAAATTCTTAGAACCTAAAAGTGCTCTTATCTTGTATCTATTTTTTTTTTTTTTTTTTTTTTGCATTTCTTACTCTATTGTACATATGATGACTAAATGGCTCTATTCCGGTTGCAGCCATCTATAGCCTGGATCCTAAGTTAGCATCATTCTGTACAAACCAATACTATTTGATCATAATTCAAACAAGGACTAATTAAGGAGTTGACTTTTTCTCAGAGAATGATTTAAAAGATGAAAAATGCAGTTAATTACTTTTAAAGTGTTGAGCCCACAGCTCATAAATGTCACAGCTAAGATTCAAACCCATGTTAGTCTATGCCTAGATATTCCACATTCAATCATATTTTAAAAATCTAACTACAGAATCATCAGAAAGGTCAACAATGAATTATAGTCAATAAGCTACCTTATAAATATGCATGAATTCAATGTTTGTAGGTACAGACATTAAGAATGTCATATAATTATTTGATTACAAGTAACAGAATATATAAAATGTAGTTCCCAAGGAGAATGTAAATAATTGAACTTTTAAAATTTCAAATATACTGCATTATATAAAAGTTTAAGAATCAGTTATATTATAAATATTTTAAATTGTTAAGACATTTCAAGAAGCATGCTGATTTCTTTTTTAGCATATGCAAATAATATGAATAATTTAAAACGAACACCATATATTTTTTATGTACGTAAAAACTATTTGAAGTGTAAAACTATTTGGCTCCATTTTAATCTGATTTTGCCTTGATTATATTAAATTTCAGGTCAGGTCAGGATTAGCAGTATGGGTGAGAAGACACCCAGGGTGGCTTCTCTGCTCCCTTCTCCCCTCCTGGATGAGCCACATGCCTGTAGCTTGGAGAGGATGTAGGAGGGGCTGGGATTCCTTTCCTGGGTTTCTTTCACTGAGATAAGCACAGAATGATGTTTCTGTCTCTGAATACATAGTATCTGAAATCTCTGCTAGAGGAGACCACTGTCAAAGTTTAAAAACCTGCAAATGAATTTTGAATCATTACATATTTGTTAAACAGGACTGATATTCTGGGTAACAGAGAAAAGATAAAATGGGTAGCTTAAATGAACAGAAGACAATGGTATCCTTTTAAACATCCATGGCACCAAAACAAAGCACAGACAACTCTGCCCTCTGTTTGGATTCATAAGAATAAAAGTCCTTTATATACTTCCCTGTCCCCCTTAACCTCTGCCCCTGCCCCCTAAACAAGACTACTGCTGCTGAATCAAAAGTCGTACTGATAAAAGACCCAGAAAGGAAAAGTGCCTTGCCTGGGATCAACAAGTCTGCGAGGACAAGAACGAGGACTTGTTATGGACTCAAAACACTTGTCATATATGACTCTGTGATACTGCTTACTTTGCTACTGCATGTTACTTAATGTAACAACTATGATACTATGTTGAGTAACTGGTTTTTTTGTTGTTGTCTTTTTTTGTTTTTTTGAGATGAAGTCTTGGAGTCTTGCTCCGTCACCCAGGCTGGAGTGCAGTGGCATAATCCTGGCTCACTGCAACCTCTGCCTCCCAGGTTCAAGCGATTCTCCTGCTTCAGCCTCCCGAGTAGCTGGGATTACAGGTGCCCGCCACCATGCCTGGCTAATTTTTGAATTTTTAGTAGAGATGGGGTTTCACCATGTTGTCCAGGCTGGTCTCGAACTCCTGACCTCAGGTGATCCACCCGCCTCGGCCTCCCAAAGTGTTGGGATTACAGGTGAGTAATGGTTATATCAGGGATTGGCAAACTATGGTCACCAGCTGCATGTGGCTCTCCACTGGTTCTTGTGGATAAAGTTTTATTGGAACACAGCCAGGCTCATTTCTTTATATACTGTCTGTGGCTGCTTTTGTGCTACAGTCACAGTTTAGTATTCATGACAGAGAATAGGTGGCTTGCAAAGCCTAAAATATTTACTATCCAGCCCTTGACATTAAAAAGTTTGCCAACATCTATGCCACATCACCCTCCAGGTTTAAACCTAATTACCACCCATGACAGAGTTGATACCACACCCATCGTCCACAAGGAAGTTAAGACGCTTGTACTGTATATGATTAGAATGCATCAAAGCCAGGATTCAAAAACAGGTTTCTATGAACTTAGGAGCCCTGTCATTATGCCAATAAGATACACTGACTTTCTCCTTTTCTATTACAATTGTTCCTTTCTTGGTGTGTATAATACACACTAATACTTCAGGAGGGTAAGCACTGTGGCTTACCCCTTTGCAGCCATCAGAGACTCTAGAACAGACCTAAGGAATCTATATTTGCTTAGCAAATTCATAAATAAATGGTCCTAAAAGTTTCATTTAATTATGTCCTCCCAGCCACATTCCCCTCTCATTATAAACAAATGTTTCTAATACTCAATAAAATTTTATATCAGCACAAGATTAATTCCTTTATTTTCTGTGAATTTCAATTCATGAGGGAAAAATCAGGCATATGATGTAGCAACATTTTTGTCAAAGTTTTGATACATTTACGTCAAACAACTTCCCTAAAGATAAATTTTAAAAGTTATTATTTGAAGATGAGTCAGGTGAACCGCAACCTGCTCGCCCACTGCTGCCAGACAGTGACACCTGCTGGAAGAGTCGGAGTCGCAAAAGCAGCAGGAGGGGCTCCCTGAGAGAAGGGGCTCCCGAGGGTAGCAACCTGGCCCACGTACACTCAGTAGCAACCTTCTTTTGTTGTTGAAGTTTGCCTGTTTTTGTTTTTCACATATGTTTAGAAATATTGCTCTGAAAGCCAGATAAACAATGGCAACCTAGGGAAAAAATTTTTTTAAAGAATGTGAATACAATTATATATATATATTTTAAAGATAAAATCATCATTAAAAACATAATGGGGCAGAGTTTAATGTTTAACTTTAGGAAGTAAACCAAAATACTGTGTCACGTGCGTGTCATTCAAAATAATATTAGCACTGCTTTAAGTATAAATCCTAAAGCCTATTATGGTTTCATATTCTACACATGGAAGTGTTTCTTAAAAAGAGTAATAATGTGTTCTATAAAAATCCCGATGATAATATATTCTACAGGTTTCATTTGGAAAAAAAGCTTTGCTAGTAATTTTTAAAAATGCACCTAAATTATTTTTAAGAGTAAATGTGATATAGGTTTTAAAACCTGTGATCAAACATCATCTTTACTGTAAGTACTTAAACTCCAACAAGAATAATGCTTCTCACTGCACTTCGTCATATTAAACGGTTCTCCTAGCTGGCGGCTGAGGGTACACATTAACATTCCGTGCACTGAAGTCCAGCATTTGTTGACGAAAACATTCTTCGGATCAAAGGATGAAAAGCAAATTGCTGGCGGCTTGAATTTTGACACAAAAGGTGAAAACTAAAATGTAGTCACTAATACCCCAAGAACAGGAGAACAAAATTCCCGAGGCTATATCATGTTTTATGGCAAGAAAACAAGGGAATGTGCAGTGGAGCAGAGGGATTAGGCTTCCCATGAGCATTTCTTATCATTGCAGCTCAAGTTGCTAGTTTTAAACTAAATAGAAACTTCTTTTAAATGCCGAATGTCCACATTTTAATGGCTGGCTTATAAAAATGTATAATTCCTCCTGCTTCATTAAACGCAAACGTTTCCCAACATCCCCTAATTTATTCCATTGAGAATTAGAACATGAATTCCATCTGCTAAAAGATAAGACAGGTACCGCGCAGCCTGCTGTTGCTAAGGGTGGTAAAGAATTCAGAAGGGGTCTGTGGCCTTTCATCACATCATTTTCACATCACCCTTTAATGAACACTCTTTATCAACCAGGGACCAGGCACAATATGATGGTGAATGATAACCTGGGTATGGTGTGGTTGGCAGAGTAGAGAACAGGTCTAGGATCCTTAAAAGGAAAAGACTGAAGATAATGCTTGGAAAACACTGACATTAATTAGAAAGAAATATGGAGAAAACCTTTAGTGAAAAACAAAACAATGCACATGTAAGGGAGCAACTCAGCACAAACACAGCATAAGACCTGGGCTTTTTCCAGAACGCTATGAGCTGACGGAGATATTACCAAGTGGTAATGATGTTTAAAAAATAAGTACTATACTGGGGTGCTTTGTAGTAACACTGACTGCCTCTTAAGTGTTTAGTACATTTTGTTTAATGAATGAAAGCTCAGAGACGTTTCCTGGTGATGATTATGTTTATGCTACAGAAAAGATCAGTTAAATGACTAAGCCCCCAAATGTGTCCTATAAACCTAAAAACACAATCCTTAGGTTTCTGGCTACTGTTCTGCAAACTCTGGCAGGGGTTGTGACTTTTTAGATTTACAATCAGGTCTCCCAAATTTTGTCCTTTTTAAAAAAAGGTTTACCCCATTTTCCATGTCAGAGATCATCAAGACTCAAACATATAAGGCATGTTCTTAAATATCCTATTAGTATCAAGTATACATCACTTTCAGAAAAGCATGCTGAGTCTAATATTCCCTCTTCACATGCGGCAGGACCCCACTACTGATGTCACTACCACCCTGTTGTTAGGAAACAGGAAGTGTACCTACCAAAACAGAGAAGACAATTTTCATACTGATCAAGACTTGATGTTTCATAGTACTGGTTCCTGAAAAGACACGTGGCTCCTGATGTGGGACATTTTTCTTTCAGCACTATATTATCTAATAGTCATCTATAATCTGTTAGCATGATGAAACGACATACTTCGACTGTGTTTGGGAGAACCCAGGAAATAAAAGAGTTTCCTGGGTTATTTTGGATTTTCAGTTTTCATATAGCTAGACCAGACATCCTTCGATAACTGCAGGTGTGAAGACATAATGAAAGGTGTCTGAAAAGCCACCAAAATCACTGTTTGGAATAAAAGAGGCTGACTTTGATAACTGTTGTGGAAACTTACTGCTGGCAAAACCAGAGGATTGTCCTGAATTTCTACTGTTGACACACAGCAAATGAAATCCCGGTGTGGTTTCTAGCAGTCTGTTTGTGTAACATGACTAATATTCGAATTATGTTAGATTAAGAAGATGAGAGATGATATCAAGACCCCATGATACCACAAAAGGTTGTTCACCATTAAAAGGAAAAGACAGCAAGTTTGTGTGTTAAAATATCCCACTTTACACGATACAATGTTTTCACTTATCCTCACTGACTGGGCTAAGAAAATGGAGAATACACTGTCAGGCAGGACTCTCAAGAATGGCAGAGGCTTTACATAGTGGCTCACTTCTCAAAAGAGCTGCTGCCAAGAGCCTGCTCCCCAAGAGGGGCAGGTATCCCCTATGATGAGGGAGGTGGAGACGCATCGGGGTGTGAAGAGGATGCAGGGGGGAACCAGGCACATGAGCTCACTCGACAGTGACCAGCCCCCAGGTCTCCCTAGCTTTGTTCTGCTGGGCTGTCCACTTCAAAACTTGAAACTGTAGCACCAGAAACATTTTATTCTCCTTCATCATGTTTTAAGTCAGCCACTTCTTCTACTCCTACTGTATGTCTAATATAGTAATCATTTGCATTTTTCTTTGGAAAATAAAATTGTTAGTAAAATGAAACACTTCATAACACACTGCTCTCTTTATAACATTCTTATAGAGTTGATTGGGGCAAGGTTTTAAAACATATACAGAAGCGTTAAAGTAGGACAAGTACAGGCCTCATCTTTTACCAGAGGCTATTCTGTGGTGAAAGTTCTACACCACAGTGATCCTGGGCCAGAGCAGAAACTAATTCCAGGGGAAATAATGCTTCCTAGTTTAATAAATTGATAGCGCTATTTCCAAATTAGTCATTATACATTTATACATAGACATAAAAAACGGGATATCACAAGGGAAAATCATTTCAGACTTTCCATCCAAACTGTTAAACTCCATCTGGTGGAGAATGAGAGAGGCTGAAGTCCTGAGGTACTTCTTTTATAAAACACTCATCCACCCAGAAAAAAGGCTTTGGCTCTGTGGGAGTATTAGTATTATTGTTGCTGAATGGGATCATCCACTTAATGAAACATGCTTCTTTCTGTCATTACTGTCTAAATTCCCACTACAAAATAAAACAGCAGCAACAGCAAAAAACAAACAAACAAACAACAAACCTCAACAATGAAAATTCAAGGGTCACAGATTAAAAGCCCTATAATCTTTTGTCTCCAGAACATTTGAGAACATAACCCAGGATAAAAGTCAGATATATGTGGTCCTAAAGGGGCAATAGCTTTAAACAACTTCGGTTCAGACTTTTGTAATCAAAGAAACACTGTATGTGTCACTATTTAGAAAAATTAAAATACTCAAGAATCCTATCTAAAAAATAATAGTTTTCAAGTGTCAGAACATGAAGAAATGGGTATAAACTGACATGACAGGGGTGTTCATTGTATCCAAGCCCAGTGAATAGAGTTTAAACCTGAAATGGCAGTTCTCATGCTGAAACTCCCCTGCACAGCATCTATTACCTGTCCCCCAGCCTGCTTCCCAGCCTTGGGCCCTGTGGAACTCTCTTGTTTTTCTGTCCCATTCACACTCTTATACCCTATTCCTCTTCCCCAACCTGTGTGTCTTCGGTCAAGCAACTCCTTGGTCTAGAATGTTTGCCCTTCCTTTCCCTCCTCACCAACAGCCTTCCAAATGCAGCAGTGTAGGGATAAATAAATTCCTTCCCTTCCTTCTGGGACCACTTTGGCCATCACCGGTCTTTCCCTGATTCCAGCCTTGGGAAGTGAACCTTGCCAAATTTGGGCTCATGCCACATCATAGTAATCAGCCAGGAGCTCCTGGGCGATAGTAATTGTGCACACATTGAATAGGTGCCGAAGTGATACATAAAAAAAAAAAATCATTCAAAAAGAGAATAAACTTTTCTCCTCTGGAGCTATTAAAAAACAGAACAGATCTTTATCAACCTGGAATGATCATTACTGAGGATGAGAACACAGAATAGTCAAAAAACTTGAATTACCTTCTAGTAATCTGCTCCAATAACCAATAAATAACAAATTAATAAACAAATGCCATTATCACATTAACAATACCTATACTGACCTTGGCCATATAACATAAACACTATTTATAAGTAAAGGTATCAAGTAGCACAGTTACCATTTGATTTTAGTGAAGGAATTTAATGAAAAACGATTATATCTAATTACTATTATTATTATTTTTTTGAGATGGAGTTTAGCTCTTGTTGCCCGGGCTGGAGTGCAATGGCACCATCTCGGCTCACCGCAATCTCCGCCTCCTAGGTTCAAGCAATTCTCTTGCCTCAGCCTCCCAAACAGCTGGGATTACAGGCATGCGCCATCATGCCTGGCTAATTTTTATATTTTTAGTTGAGACAGGATTTCTCCATGTTAGTCAGGCTGGTCTTGAACTCCCGACCTCAGATGATCCGCCTGCTTTGGCCTCCCAAAGTGCTGGGATTACAGGTGTGAGCCACTGCACCCGGCCGACTATATCTAATTCGAAAATTAATAATATTGAATTATTTCCTAGATTATAGAAAGCTGCTGCCAAGAACAGATTATACTGTCCTTTTTAAAAAAAGGTTTACCCCATTTCTCCTGTCAGAGATCATCAAGGCTCAAACATATGAAGCATGTTCTTACATATCCTATTAGCATCACTTAAGTATATGTCACTTTCAGAAAGGCAGGCAGAGTCTAATATTCCTTCTTCACATGCTGCAGGACTACAGATTTTAGAGATTTTTTTCTAGTAATTCAATAAACAACTGTTTATTACCTACTATTTGCCAGGCACAATCCTAAGGAGCTGAAGATACAGCAGCAAGCAAAACATCATCTTTGCCCTTATATAATTTATTTTCTAGTTGGAAGAAATAGATAATAAACACGCACACAAGTGTCTGGTGGTGGTTAAGTGCTATGAGGAAAAAGAAAACAGAATAAAGGGCGTAAGTGATGCTAGCAGTAAGAGGGTGAGGTGCCTTTTGTTTTTATATATATTTATATTACATATATTTATATTCAGGAAGGCCCCACTGATCAAACGACATCTGCTAGAGAGCTGAAGGCAGGGTGGCGTAAGTCTCACAGTATCTGGTAGAGGGCGTTCTTTTTTTTTTTTTTTTTTATACTTTAAGTTCTAGGGTACATATGCACAACGTGCAGGTTTGTTACATAGGGTATACATGTGCCATGTTGGTTTGCTGCACCCATAAACTAGTCATTTACATTAGGTATATCTCCTAATGCTATCCCTCCCCCAGGCCCCCACCCCATGACAGGCCCCAGGGTGTGATGTTCCCCTCCCTGTGTTCAAGTGTTCTCATTGTTCAATTCCCATCTGTGAGTGAGAACATGCGGTGTTTGGTTTTCTGTCCTTGTGACAGTTTACTCAGAATGATGATTTCCAGCTGCATCCAAGTCTGCAAAGGACATGAACTCATCCTTTTTTATGGCTGCAGAGTATTCCATGGTAAATATGTGCCACATTTTCTTAATCCAGTCTATAATTGATGGACATCTGGGTTGGTTCCAAGTCTTTGCTATTGTTAATAGTGCCGCAATAAACATACGTGTGCATGTGTCTTTATAGTAGCATGATTTATAATCCTTTGGGTATATACCCAGTAATGGGATGGCTGGATCAAATGGTATTTCTAGTTCTAGATCCTTGAGGAATTGCCACACTGTCTTCCACAATGGTTGAACTAGTTTACACTCCCACCAATAGTGTAAAAGCGTTCCGATTTCCCCACATCCTCTCCATCATCTGTTGCTTCCAACTTTTTAATGATCGCCATTCTAACTGGTGTGAGATGGTATCTCACTGTGGTTTTGATTTGCATTTCTCTGATGACCAGTGATGATGAGCATTTTTTCATGTGTCTGTTGGCTGCATAAATGTCTTCTTTTGAGAAGTGTCTGTTCATATCCTTTGCCCACTTTTGGATGGGGTTGTTTTTTTTCTTGTAAACTTGTTTGAGTTATTTGTAGATTCTGGATATTAGCCCTTTGTCAGATGAGTAGATTGCAAAAATTTTCTCCCATTCCATAGGTTGCCTGTTCACTCTGATGGTAGTTTCGTGCAGAAGCTCTTTAGTTTAATTAGATCCCATTTGTCTATTTTGTCTTCTGTTGCCATTGCTTTTGGTGTTTTAGACATGAAGTCCTTGCCCATGTCTATGTTCTGAATGGTATTGCCTAGGTTTTCTTCTAGGGTTTTTATGGTTTTAGGTCTAACATTTAAGTCTTTAACCCATCTTGAATCAATTTTTGTATAAGGTGTAAGGAAGGGATCCAGTTTCAGCTTTCTACATATGGCTAGCCAGTTTTCCCAGCACTGTTTATTAAATAGGGAATCCTTTCCCCTTTTCTTGTTTTTGTTAGATTTGTCAAAGATCAGCTGGTTGTAGATGTGTGGTGTTATTTCTGAGGCCTCTGTTCTGTTCCATTGGTCTATATATCTGTTTTGGTACCAGTACCATGCTGTTTGGTTACTGTAGCCTTGTCGTATAGTTTGAAGTCAGATAGCATGATGCCTCCAGCTTTGTTCCTTTTGCTTAGGATTGTCTTGGCAACGTGGGCTGTTTTTTGGTTCCATATGAACTTTAAAGTAGTTTTTTTCCAGTTCCGTGAAGAAAGTCATTGGTAGCTTGATGGAGATGGTCTATAAATTACCTTGGGCAGTATGGCCATTTTCACGTTGTTGATTCTTCCTATCCATGAGCATGGAATGTTCTTCCATTTGTTTGTGTCCTCTTTTATTTTGTTGAGCAGTGGTTTGTAGTTCTCCTTGAAGAGGTCCTTCACATCCCTTGTAAGTTGGATTCTTAGATATTTTATTCTCTTTTTAGCAATTGGGAATGGGAGTTCACTCATGATTTGGCTCTCCGTTTGTCTGTTATTGGTGTATAGGAATGCTTGTGATTTTTGCACATTGATTTTGCATCCTGAGACTTTGCTGAAGTTGTTTATCAGCTTAAGGAGATTTTGGGCTGAGACAATGGGGTTTTCTAAATATACAATCATGTCATCTGCAAACAGGGACAATTTGACTTCTTCTTTTCCTAATTGAACACCCTTTATTTCTTTCTCTTGCCTGATTGCCTTGGCCAGAACTTCCAACACTATTTTGAATAGGAGTGGTGAGAGAGGGCATCCTTGTCTTGTGCCATTTTTCAAAGGGACTGCTTCCAGCTTTTGCTCATTCAGTATGATATTGGTTGTGGGTTTGTCATAAATAGCTCTTATTATTTTGAGATACGTTCCATCAATACCTAGCTTATTGAGATTTTTTAGCATGAAGGGCTATTGAATTTTGTTGAAAGCCTTTTCTGCATCTATTGAGATAATCATGTGGTTTTTGTCATTGGTTCTGTTTATGTGATGGATTATGTTTATTGATTTGCATATGTTGAACCAGCCTTGCATCCCAGGGATGAAGCCGACTTGATCATGGTGGATAAACTTTTAGATGTGCTGCTGGGTTTGGTTTGCCAGTATTTTATTGAGGATTTTCACATCGATGTTCATCAGGGATATTGGTCTAAAATTCTCTTTTTTTTGTTATGTCTCTGCCAGGCTTTGGTATCAGGATGATGCTGGCCTCATGAAATGAGTTAGGGAGGATTCCCTCTTTTTCTATTGATTGGAATAGTTTCAGAAGGAATGGTACCAGCTCCTCTTTGTACCTCTGGTAGAATTCAGCTGTAAATCCATCTGGTCCTGGACTTTTTTTGGTTGGTAGCCTATTAATTATTGCCTCAATTTCAGAGCCTGTTATTAGTCTATTCAGAGATTGAACTTCTTCCTGGTTTAGTCTTGGGAGGGTGTATGTGTCCAGGAATTTATCCATTTCTTCTAGATTTTCTAGTTTATTTGCATAGAGGTGTTTATAGTATTCTCTGATGATAGTTTGTATTCTGTGGGATCAGTGGTGATAGCCCCTTTATCATTTTTTATTGTGTCTGTTTGATTCTTCTCTCTTTTCTTCTTTATTAGTCTTGCTAGCAGTCTATCAATTTTGTTGATCTTTTCAAAAAACCAGCTCCTGGATTCATTGATTTTTTCAAGGGTTTTTTTGTGTCTCTATCTCCTTCAGTTCTGCTCTGATCTTAGTTATTTCTTGCCTTCTGCTGGCTTTTGAATTTGTTTGCTCTTGCTTCTCTAGTTCCTTTAATTTTGATGCTAGGTGTTGATTTTACATCTTTCCTGCTTTCTCTTGTGGGCATTTAGTGCTATAAATGTCCCTCTACACACTGCTTTAAATATGTCCCAGAGATTCTGATATGTTGTGTCTTGGTTCTCACTGGTTTCAAAGAACATCTTTATTTCTGCCTTCATTTCATTACTTACCCATCAGCCATTCAGGAGCATGTTGTTCAGTTTCCATGTAGTTGTGCGGTTTTGAGTGAGTTTCTTAATCCTGAGTTCTAATTGGATTGCACTGTGGTCTGAGAGACAGTTTGTTGTGATTTCTGTTCTTTTACATTTGCTGAGGAGTGCTTTACTTCCAACTATGTGGTCAATTTTAGAATAAGGGCGATGTGGTGCTGAGAAGAATGTATATTCTCTTGATTTGTGGTGGAGAGTTCTGTAGATGTCTCTTAGGTCTGCTTGGTGCAGAGCGGAGTTCAAGTCCTAGATATCCTTGTTAACCTTCTGTCTTGTTGATCTGTCTAATACTGACAGTGGGGTGTTAAAGTCTCCCATTATTATTGTATGGGAGTCTAAGTCTCTTTGTAGGTCTCTAAGGACTTGCTTTATGAATCTGGGTGCTCCTGTATTGGGTGCATATATATTTAGGATAGTTAGCTCTTCTTGTTGAATTGATCCCTTTGCCATTATGTAATGGCCTTCTTTGTCTCTTCTGATCTTTACTGGTTTAGTCTGTTTTATCAGAGACTAGGATTGCAACCCCTGCTTTTTTTTTTTTTTTTTTTTTTTTTTTTTGCTTTCCATTTGCTTGGTAGATCTTCTTCCATCCCTTTATTTTGAGTCTATGTGTGTCACTGCATGTGAGATGGGTCTCCTGAATACAGCACACTGATGGGTCTTGTCTCTTTATCCAATTTGCCTGTGTCTTTTAATTGAGGCATTTAGCCCATTTACATTAAAGGTTAATATTGTTATGTGTGAATTTGATCCCGTCACTATGTTAGCTGGTTATTTTGCCCGTTAGTTGATGCAGTTTCTTCCAAGCATTGATGGTCTTTACAATTTGGCATGTTTTTGCAGTAGCTGGTACTGGTTGTTCCTTTCCATGTTTAGTGCTTCCTTCAGGAACTCTCGTAAGGCAGGTCTGGTGGTGACAAAATCTCTCAGCATTTGCTTGTCTATAAAGGATTTTTTTTTCTCCTTCACTTATGAGGCTTAGTTTGGCTAGATATGAAATTCTGGGTTGAAAATTCTTTTCTTTAAGAATGCTGAATACCAGCCCCCACTCTCTTCTGGCTTGTAGAGTTTCTGCCGAGAGATCTGCTGTTAAGTCTGATGGGTTTCCCTTTGTGGGTGACCCGACCTTTCTCTCTGGCTGTCCTTAACATTTTTCCCTTCATTTCAACCTTGGTGAATCTGACAATTATGTGTCTTGCGGTTGCTCTTCTCAAGGAGTATCTTTGTGGTGTTCTCTGTATTTCCTAAATTTGAATATTGGCCTGCCTTGCTAGGTTGGGGAAGTTCTCCTGGATAATATCCCTAAGAGTGTTTTCCAACTTGGTTCCATTCTCCCCGTCACTTTCAGGTACACCAATCAAATGTAGATTTGGTTTTTTCACATAGTCCCATATTTCTTGGAGGCTTTGTTCGTTTCTTTCTACTCTTTTTTCTCTAACCTTCTCTTCTCGCTTTATTTCATTAATTTGATCTTCAATCACTGATACCCTTTCTTCCACTTGATCAAATCAGCTATTGAAGCTTGTGTATGCGTCACGTAGTTCTCGTGCCACAGTTTTGCTCCATCAGGTCATTTAAGGTCTTCTCTACACTGTTTATTCTAGTTAGCCATTTGTCTAAGCTTTTTTCAAGGTTTTTAGCTTCCTTGCAATGGGTTCAAACATCCTCCTTTAGCTTGGAAAAGTTTGTTATTACTGACCTTCTGAAGCCTACTTCTGTCAGCTCATCAAAGTCATTCTCCATCCAGCTTTGTTCCATTGCTGGCGAGGAGCTGCGATCTTTTGGAAGAGAAGAGGGTCTCTGGTTTTCAGAATTTTCAGATGTTCTGGTCTGGTTTCTCCCCATCATTGTGATTTTATCTACCTTTGGTCTTTGATGTTGGTGACCCACCAACATCAAATGGGGTTTTGGTGTGGATGTTCTTTTTGTTGATGTTGATGCTAATCCTTTTGTTTGTTAGTTTTCCTCCTAACAGTCAGGTCCCTCAGCTGCACATCTGTTGGAGTTTGCTGGAGGTCCACTCCAGGCCCTGTATGCCTGGGTATCACCAGCAGAGGCTGAAGAACAGCAAATATTGCAGAACGGCAAATATTGGTGCCTGATCCTTCCTCTGGAAGCTTCGCCCCAGAGGGGTACCCGCCTGTATGAGGTGTCAGTCGGCCCCTACGGGGAGGTGTCTCCTAGTTAGGCTACACGGGGGTCAGGGACCCACTTGAGGAGGCAGTCTGTCCTTTCTCTGAGCTCAAACACCATGCTGGGAGAACCACTGCTCTCTTCAGAGCTGTCAGACAGGAATGTTTAAGCCTGCAGAAGTTTCTGCTGTCTTTTGCTCAGCTATGCCCTGCCCCCAGAGGTGGAGACTACAGAGGCAGTCTGCCTTGCTGAGCTGCGGTGGGCTCTGCCCAGTTTGAGCTTCCCCAGCCTCTTTGTTTACCTACTCAAGCCTCAGCAATGGCAGATGCCACTCCCTCTGCCAGGCTGCTGCCTCACAGGTAGATCTCAGACTGCTGTGCTAGCAGTGAGCAAGGCTCTGTGGGCATGGGATCCACCAAGCCAGATGCGGGATATAATCTTCTGGTGTGCCATTTGCTAAGACTGTTGGAAAAGTGCAGTATTTGGGCAGGAGTGTCCCGTTTTTCCAGGTACTGTCTGTCACAGCGTCCCTTGGCTAGGAAAGGGAAATCCCCTGACCCCTTGTGCTTCCTGGGTGAGGCGATGCCTTGCCCTGCTTTGGCTCACCCTCTGTGGGCTGCACCCACTGTCCAACCAGTCCCAATGAGATGAACCAGGTACCTCAGTTGGAAATGCAGAAATCATCCGTCTTCTGCGTCAATCACGCTGGGAACTGCAGACTGGAGCTGTTCCTATTTGGCCATCTTGGAATGGAATCCTCCTAGAGGGCATTCTTAACAGAGGAAAGGAGTGCAAAGTCCCTGAGACAGGGGCCTGCTGCGGGTGTTCAAGAAAGAGGCAGGAGACCCGTGTGGCTGCAGCTGAGCACGCGAGGGAGGAAGGTTGGGGAGCTGAGCCTCAGGGAGATGGTAAGGAGGAAGACAGAGCTCCTGGTGGGTGCCTGACCAGTGCTCCAAATGAGTCAGGAAACCCCTGGGGCTTTTAAGCAAAGGAATGACACAATTGTTACAAGGCCACTTTGGCTGCTATGTGGAAGATAGTCTGTAAAGGAACAGGGTAGAACCACAGAGACCAATCAGGAGCTATTCCAGAAGCAATTTAGTAGAGAGGATGTGGCTGGGGTGGGGTGTTGGAGGTGATTAAAAGTGGATGGATTCTGAAGACATTTTGAAGTGAAGAGCCAAAAGGTTTTACTGGTAGATTAGAGGCAACACGTGAGAAAGATGGGCATCAAGGATGACTTCAAGATTTTTGGCCAAGCAGATGGAAGGATGGCGGAAGACTATGGGGGAAGTGTGCTTAGAGGTAAGGGGTGAACCAGGGATCTGGGACACATCAGACCTGAGATGCTAATTAGACACCCCAGCAGAGACTGGTGGGGTAAGTCAGAATGATACCCACATGTGGAATGAACTGGGGCATCATCAGCACAGAAATGGTATCTGAAGTCAGGAGACCGGATGAGACTACCTACAAAGTGAGCACAGACAGGAAGAGAAGAGATCAAAGGCCACAGCCCTGGGGCCTATGTGAGAGGCTGGGGAGGTGAGGAGGAGCCAGCACAGAAGACTGAAAAGGAACAGCTGGTACCACTCTGGGCTAGTGGAAGGCTAGAAACAGTGCACCCTCCAGACACAGCATCATGCTGCAGGCTTCTGACTTGTCCCCTCAAACAGGGACATGTGCAGAATTGCTAAGCAAAATCCCATCTCCAGCTATCATCAGTTTAATGGAGTAAAAGTTTGTTTTAAAGAATAATGAGACCCAATCTTAGTAATCAATAAACCAGAAAGACAACAAACAAATCCATCAAATTGGCCAAAAATTTAAATTCTAACAATATTAGGTATAATTAAAGAGGTGAGGAAATGGAAAGTCTCTTCTGGAGAACAATGTAAAATTATAAAGCAAATATCTAGGTATCTACATACAAAGTGGTACTGTTTATGCAAATTTAAAATACAAACATAAAATCACATACTATTCATAGATATATACATGTACGTTGAATGAACTGAAAGGAAAACCCCCAGTGCAGTGAGAGCTCCTCTGAGAGGGACAGGAGAGTGGCAAGGAGTGGGGAGTAACGGAAGCTGCCCCTCAGCAGCAATAACCTTGCTGAGCTGGTTTTTAAAAAATATATTGAATTTGTGAAAAGAACGTGAAGCAAATATGAGAAAATATTTATAATCAACTCTGCTGTTAATACATGAGTACACACAACAAAATACTTTGTACTTTTTTGTATGTAAAAAAATCTCCAAATATGTTTTAAAAGCACAGAAAAGCACAATAAAACAAGATCATTTGTTTAAAACAACAACTGTTTACTATATTTAAACTTACACTGCAAGCCTATAATAAAGCAAAAGGAGAGGAATAAATTCTGCTGGTGTAGCAACACAGAATGTTAGGTCTCTAGCACAGCATGACACAGCACTTGGCAAAACTCCACCTCTGTGTTCTACTTCACTATTATTTGACAAACACTGTAAAAAAAAAAACTTTGAGCACACTACCCACAAATACAGTAGTTTTAAAAAAAAGTAAACTGAAAGGAAAAAGGTAAAACTACGCTGTTTATCAGAAGTTCTAATCTAAATAGGGAATTAGGATATCAACTTTGAGTAATAATCTAAGACCAGGTTCAAATGCTTTTGGAATTAGATGAAAATACAACAATGAATAAATACATAGGTAGGTCAATCAGTCAGCAAATGTAAACAATCCATGATAATTAACAGAAACTATAATTCTCCTATGCAAATTTAAGATATAAGTACTACCTTCCCTTAACAATTTAGAGAATTCTACAGACATATTAATTTTTATAAGACTCATCTTCTTGAAGAAGATATACATGAGTATATACTATAATAATAGCTTTACCTTGTCCCTTTTCTAGTCAGTGGGTAATGAACGTACTTGCTGAAACTCTTACACACTTTTCCACTTTTCCTAGCTTTTTACAACTGAATTGCTCTGTATCACTGAAGACGTGAGTCATTTCTCTTGTATATTTATAAGTAAATTCAGGCTGATTCATTTCGTGTGTTACAGGGATTAAATGCCTTTGAATTTTTACCTATATATTCAATGATGTCCTCATCACTTTCTCTTTGGAAATTTTCTCTAGACCAAACTCATACATGTTAAGAAAAATATAGCAAGCACGTAAATGTTTAATTCAGGGCATTTTAAAAAGCAGAATACTTTTTCAATTTTTTTTTTCTTTTGTCAATAAATCCTTGGGTTAAAAACAAGTTTCACAAAAACATATTTCTATTCTCTGATGAGTTAGAACACATGAACAGGTTTATTCTTCCTCAAAATTGGTCAGAGATAAATACTTAAATTTGTTAACACCTTTTAAAAAAAAACAGCCATTTAACCTTTTCGGAATAATAAACACTTTGGAGAAGTAAACAAACGCTTTATTCCACAAATATGGAGCTGCTGAGCAGTGCAAGGCACTGCGCTAAGTGCTTCTGGTGAGCACACGTTAAGCACTCACTGGCTCTGCTCATGACATGCTGAATCACTGTGGTGGGAGCTCAGGTGAGTGCGTGAATAATCTCAGAACAAGAGGGGGATTAAATGCTTTCAGGGAGGAAATTGTAAAATACTAGAGGAGTCCAGAGAAGGGAAGAATTGTTTCCTGCAAGAGGTGTGGAAAAGGAAAATCAGAGAAGGCTTCATGACAGCAGTGGACTTGGCTGGATCTTGAAGGAAAGTGAGATTTTGACCAGGGCACTGGGAGCCACGTTTGTGTGGGGAGTGAGGGCTGGGGTTTTAAGTGAGGGGTGTAAAGGTGAAGAGCGATCAATGTTAAGTAGGCAGGAAATTCAAGCATGAGGGTAGGTAAAAGAGAGAAATGAGAAGGGTAGAGAAGTAGGTAATCAGCAGATTACAAAGGATTTTGATCAAGGTCAAGTGTTCACATTTTATTTTCTAGACAGATGGGAACCGATGAGAACCTCTGAGCAGAGGAGAGGTATGATCAGACACATGCTTCAGAAAGATGAACATCGTGGGGGATAGATGAATAGGAAGGAGGAAGGAGGACAATCTAGACATGGAAAAACTAATTAGGAGTCTACTGCATATAAATAAGAGGTAATGAAAACAGAATTAGGCAGAATCAGTGGGAATGGAAAGGGTATGGAAGCAAAAAAATTGTACATTATAAATAGCATTTATGAAAAATATGGTATAAAGCCTTACCTGATTCTTCTGTATCCTGTTCATCTATTAAACCTACTGAGACGCCTAAATCCACACATTTCTTGCTATGTGCCTTGGACTTCATGTGTTTTGTCAGATTTCCTTAAGGGAAAAGAATGTTTACTAAGCTTAAGTAGTATGATTTTGCTATTGCATTTGTAAACACTGGCAAATTTCATTCCTATTCAAGCAAAAGTACAGATTGTGGTCGTACAACTCCAATGACTAAAATGTGAACAAAAGAAAATTTGGTATCTATATGTTCTAATACCTTGTTATTTATCAGTTTATATTTTCTTTTTAAAATCTGCCTCCTCTACTTTGATAACATCTCCTTTACCTTATGTTTTCTATTCTCTAATCCTTATTTATTTCTTGGGACATTTTATACATACTTAATTTAAAGTCCCGTTCAGACTACACTATGATCTGTAGTTCTTGGAGTGTGAATTCTCCACTTGTTATGACTGCTGGCTCTTTCTCATTTGTTTCTTTGCATGCTTTTTACTTTTAATTGTAAGTTTATCCTCAGCAAGATTGTTTTCCATGGAATCCTAAGTACCCTGGGTTGCAGAAACATCTCTATAAAGCAGTTTTCCAATTGCTTCTGCCTGGGACCTTAACAGTTTCATTGGCTTCAGACAACTGACTCTGGGCCAGTTTTTTTGTTTGTTTTTGCATGGTATAGATATAGGGTTTTACTTTTAAGCGGTTAGGGTTTTTCCCACATGGCCCAAAGTCACTGGACAGGAGGACTAGGCTTATTTCAGGAACCTCAGATGCTATCTCAGGACAGGTAAGCCTGTAGGCATATATCTGGCCTCGATTCCCATAAGGCCTTTTAATTTTTTTGTTAGTATCTGTTCACCATGTTAGCTTTGAGCTTCTTTTTTCTGGTACCTTGGAATTCACCTTTTAAAGTTTCAAGCTTGACTATGAAAAACTATTTTGGGTCATTGTAATTTTATAAACAGTATTTCTGGAATAAGAGAAAGCATTTCCTGTATTAATTTCATTTCACATACAGAGTATAAGTCTCAAAATAGTACCAGTAAAGGAGTGTTTCCTCTGGCAGCTGTTGTATCGACCTCTTTAAGTATGACCATGCTAGCTGAGAACCACTAGCACACCTGCCTCAAGTGATCACTGAATCCAGGGGAAACAGCTCATATTCTTCTGAGGATAACAAGCATCTCCAGTGGATAATGCCATACACAAAAGCATTGCCAACAAGGGCAAGTCATCTTTTTTGAGAAACAAAAACAACTCTAAATGTTGAATTTAGTGGGCAGAGGCAAAGTAGTATTTGAGAATAAGTCTTTAGAAGAGCTCAAAATGTCTGAATCATTGGTCCAAATTTCGGGCTTGCAGTAGCCGAAGCACATGGAAAATAGCTATATCTATTCAATTTCCTGATAAATGCACTAAGCCTGTGAAACTGGTCATCCCTGTACAAGCTGATTCTTGCACTACATAGTACATTCTTGTCTCAGCCAACCACGCAGGACCCCAGAGCTTAGTACTTAAGGAGGTCAGGCTTAAGAGGATGCCGAGACCAGATGATGGCTAAGGTCCATCAAACCCTGACTTCTGTGATTCTGGAGATAACACCTGGATTAACACTTGGCTATCTCTGATATTTACATTAAATATACTGAAAAAAATATGAAGCAAATATGGCAAAATCTTAGCAATTATTAAAAGATTATGCACACAATGGTGTTCATTATACAGATCTCTACTTTTATGTGACAGCTTTAAAGTTTTCACATTAAGAAATTATAAAAATGGTTTAGATATCTTACTGTGGTTGAAATTTCCACTTGTAAGTCAAAATGTTTTCAGTGTGTTAATACTAACAATATTACAAACCAAATTATAAGGTCCACTATAGTCCTCTTTTTTTTTTTTTTGGTTGAGACGGAGTCTTACTGTTGCCCAGGCTGGAGTGCAGTGGCGAGATCTCAGCTCACTGCAACCTCCATCTCCCGGGTTCAAGCCATTCTTTTGCCTCAGCCTCCCAGGTAGCTGGGATTACAGGCGCCTGCCACTGCGCCAGGCTAATTTTTTGTATTTTAGTTAAGACGGGGTTTCACCATGTTGCCCAGGCTCAATCTCCTGACCTCAGGCAATCTGCCTGCCTTGGCCTCCCAAAGTGCTAGGATTACAGGTGTGAGCCACCGCACCTGGCCCTCTTTTAAAATGTTTTTGCTCCCTAGATAGACAGCCATTGCAGGTTATTTACTTTTTAAGAAACTAATGTATAATTGTAACTAGACAAATTCAGAAATATAAGTTTTTAGTAAGCATATTTTCTCATAACTTTAGCTATTACTTATTATGAATCAACTTCCTAATGTAAAATAAACAAAAATCTGCATTTCAATATACAAAATATTGAAAGTGTGCCCATATTGAAATGCAAATATCTCCTAGCAATTTTATAAACCTGGTGTTAATTTAATAAATAATTTTTCTGATAGATTTAATAAACATTTATCTGAATCCTCTGGAAAGCATGAGAGGTTTTGTTTCTTGACTCCTAGAGCTACATGCAGTCTAATTTTCTGTGATATAAATGAGACTAAATCTTGCAGAGATACAAGCTCTCTATATGTTTTCTGCTGACTGACCTTTAACGTAGAATCATGAAAACAAATCAATTAAAATTATTTTGAAAATGTACTCACAAAATAAACTCAGAGGGCAAATAATGAATTATGGATTTGTAAGCATTACCATCAGAAGCATCAATTTTTAGCTCTACAGATCATTTTTCTGAGAGCGTTTTGCTGTCTTTGCATACCATATTTATACAGCATGCCATCACATCACTATTTCCTTCTGTTAGTAACCCGACACTTTCAATAATAAGTGGAGTCCTACTGGCTAGTATAGCAAGTAAATCAGAGAAGGTGAAAATCTGGGGCATAATTCAAAAAAAGGTCTACTATTATTTAACTACCTTTAAAAGGTGCTGTGGAATCTGTTTTACATAGATTCACAAAAAGTAGACTTCAAAAAGGAAGCTGACCGTAAAAAAAAGAGAAGTGTCATGCCAAGAAAAGGGAAATCCTGAATTTCTAACATTTTCTTCACCAGTCTCCTTAGCAAGGATAGCCTCCTTCAAATAAATATTTACCATATAATTCCACATGACATCTTACAAAACAACAAATTTAATGCAAATTCAGATATACAGCATATTAGAGATGTGTAAGACATGAAAAGTGCTAACAGGCAATGCTCACTCTTCAGGGGTCATTATGGACTGTCCACCATTTAGTTAACATTTATCTAAAATCTTCGAGTTAATTTCACTAAGATTAATATTTGTGACTCATCATATTTTTCCTTGCCAAGAAATCTCTGTAGTTTCATTTGGTTTACCACATCTAGGTTGTCCTTCCTTTTTTGCCCTTACTTGATAAATATTTTTTAAATAGCCTCATTCTTTTTCTTCTTTCTATTGAGAAATACCCATTTCCCATTGTATCTTGATCTTCTTGTATTTGATAACATCCTTTTGTACATGATAATCTTTTATTAGTAATATTAGCTTTCTAAATATGCTTCTTGTCTCATAAAGGAAGCTAATAGATGTTTCTTAATCATAGGATCAAAATGAGTGAAAAAGCAATAAATTCAGTTAAAAGACCAAAGTACTTTACCCTATCAGAGTCCTCCCTCAGGACCAGGAAGGAAAATCATCCTTAAACTCACCCTCCAATGACAGAGGGAGGTTCTACATCACAATTAAAAAACTGCATCCTGAGTATCCCTCCCAACCTCTCTCATTTCTTGAAACTTTTTTGAAATATTCAAAGCCATATGAAGAATATTTTGTTTTTCCATCATTCTTGTTTCAGACACCACTGGCACTTAAAGAGTACTAATTTGAAGCATGTAGTTGTTACAAGTTATAACTCTCTTTAAATGCCCATAAATACTAGCCAAAAAATGTAATAAATTTTGCTAAGAAGTTGATCAATCTTTAAAACAAAAACTGCAAAGACAACCAGCATAAGAAAAAAGTAAATGTTAACTCAAAGGATAAAAGTTGTTTCTATTTTTAAAAATCAATTAATTTTTTTTTTTTTTTTTTTTTTTTTTACTGTTTTCTCAGACATGTTTTCACGATTACCTTGCTTTGTTAAAGAGAGATCTTTGGTTTTTAGAGAGTGGCATATAAAATTAAAATCTCAAGTAATAAATTGTTCATGAATAAGGAGCCTGACGGAGGAAGCAAACATTTAAAGTAGTATACCTATTATATGTATCAAGAAACTTGTACAGGGCAAAATTAACTATGAGTGAGGCTTATAAATAAAAACATATTTAAAAAACCAGAAAGGGTCCTAAATATAATTTTAATGATTAGTTCTGAGACTTCTTTATAAACATTAATAGAAACTATAGAAAATTTTTGAAGCTAAAATTTAACAGTATTTATGTAAAAAAAAGCATTGTGAAAAAAAATGGCTATGTATTCCTAAAATCAGACAATAAAACAGAAGTGTAATTATTATAGAAGTTTACTGTAGTTATTATTTTAAATCTTTCTTCAATCTTTTAGCACCCAGCGAATTTACTTGTGATCATGAAAATTTCTTTTTATTCTTCAGCCCCAAATTAAATATTCTTGAAAAGGTATATTAGTCATCATGTTGTACAACTGCAATTTAAGGAGTTAAGTTTTTTAAAAAGGGCAGTTGCTCTTTTAAAAATATTATATTTATTATATATTTATTCTAAAAGTGTACAATTAAAAACTTTTCCCAATGGGTCTAAAATCATATAAAGTAATAAGACTACAACATTGACAAGATGTAATTGACATTAGTCTATTTAAGCTGCTATTTCATCGGTCAAAGAAAACGCACAGTTGGGTTTTAGCTTTCCCACCTAAATACATATTAAAAGGACCTTGAAGCAATGTGCATCTCATACCTTTAGTCTTAAAGGAGAAGTTACAGTAAGTGCAGTGGTAGGGGCGGACATCTGTATGGGTTCGTATGTGTTTCTTTAACATGCTAGGTTTCTTACAACGTATTCCACATTCTTCACAAATGTATTTTCCTCTTCCCCTGCCTCGGACATATACATACTCTTCATTTGACTTATATCTAATTTAAAGAAAAAAAATGAATAGGGAGATTGGACACTATGCCTCTGAGAAAATATTGATGATTAAAATTCAACCCAAAGATAAAACAAGGCACAACTTTTATACTCAACCAATAACAATTTTATGCATGTGTAACAGAATATTCCAGCTTTTTACATCAACACTTAATATAGCTAATTCTAATCAAACAAACTTTTGCAATATTATATTTTGTTTTGTTTTTTTTTTAGAGACAGTCTTGCTCCATTGCCCAGGCTGGAGCCCAGTGGTGTGATTGTAGCTCAATGAAGCCTCAACCTCCCGGGCTCACATGATCCTCCCGCCTCAGCCTCCCGAACAGCTGGGACTACAGGCGCGCACCACTGCGCTGCACTACTGCATGTAATTTTAAAATACTTCCCTGTTTCCAAGTCATTGGTTAAAATTTGTTCTTCTTTGCTAAATTCAACCACAATAATTTTAAGTACTGAAATATTTTGGAGCTTTACTATAACTATAATTGGCTTTTATGATGTTTTTGTTCACAACAAAATACACAAAGATATCTAATGGGCAATGAATTCATCTGAGAGCAGATTCTCTAGGTCATTCCTTACTGTAAATCAATGTGAAAACCAAGGTTCACTCTAATAATTTAGTTTTTAGCTGCCTTCAAGGTTGTACAGTATTTCCCAAATAGTCATCATTTCTCCATCAAAATAAAATGATTTAACATAATGTTAACATATTTTGCTATGGAGATTCTGTTAATATGCTGAGAAACCTTGCAACATCGATACTAAATTGGCACTAAGTCTTCATTCACATGAAAGCAAATGTACATTTAAAAAGTCAGTTTAAATGTACATTTAAGAAGTAAAATTTGTACTTGCCCTCCATCAAATATTTTAATTCTTCTTGGTTCACTTTTGATTAAGGAATTTTCTTTATCTTGCTCACTGTTAATTTCAGAGGCATCTTTATTGCTGAATTCAACTACTGTGGACTTTTGATTACCTAATGCTCTCTGAAAGGAAAAAAGAGAGAAACTAATTTAATAAAACTGAAAACACAAGCATGCTAATCTTTCACTGGAAATTAAAACATGGCAGAGTACAGAGCATATGGTCAACGAAATGCATTTCAAAGTAGTAATAGGTTCAAAGGGCATTTACTTTATCTCCTCCCTTATGAATCTGTCTCAATCACAGCAAACTGATAAATCTTATGTTAATTTAAAATTCCACCACAGTTCACTGACACCCCCAAATAAAGGCTTTACAACCTCCTATACCATGGTATTTCTTAAGTTTAACAGAAACTTTTTTTAGTAGACTAAATATTTTTTCTTCCATTTAACCAGCCACTCATACTACCATTTAAGTACATTTCTTAAAGAGTTTACTTTTGGAGATGGAAAAGAGCTAGCTACTCCTTTTGGTAAAATAATGCCTCATACCCATTAGAAACATCATTAAGTCTCCTTCAGCTTCAGTGCATTATAAGGTAAAGCAGAAGCCCCATTTCCCAATATTTTACTTTTTCTTCCTCCATTATTTTAAATCATAAATCTTTTTTGACATGGGGTCTTACTATTGCCCAGGCTGGAGTGCAGTAGTACAATCATAGCTCACTGCAGCCTCAAACTCCTGGGCTCAAGAGGTCCTCCCACCTCAGCCTCCTGAGTAGCTAGGACCACAGGCCTGAGCCACCACACCTGGCTACCTTTAAAATTTTATAGAAATGGGGGTCTTGCTCTGTTGCACCGACCAGTCTTATACTCCTGACCTCAAGTGATCCTCCCACCTCAGCCACCCAAAGTGCTGGGATTACAGGCATGAGCCACCATGCCCAGCTAAAACCATAATTCTTTCTATCTTCTCAAAAGTTTACTGAATACTGATAAATGTGGCATCCAGGTCTAGCCAAAAAGTTAGGTTTTGGCTTGGTAACAATTAAGTCTCTGGAAAAAAGGTAACGAACGTCAAAATCAAAATGATAAACGATGTGTGGTTTTCCTATAGGAACAATATAATAATATAATACCACCTTATGATTTTATGTAAGATTTTATGCTACTACCCATTTGATAGTATGTTGTCTCACTTATAGTGCCATTCCATTCTCTCAGGTCCCTGTGAGGCAGGCAGCACAGGTGGACTATATATCCCAGTGAGGAAGGACGCTCTCAGGGTGAAGTTCCTTGTCCCAGGTCAAGTGTTAAGTAAAGGCTCAAACTCTAATCCTCTGGCTGAATCCAACGCAACGCACAACTTTTCCTACCAAGGGCTTCTTTTATACAAACCTCCTTTAAGAAATTACATTGTCAAGCAGACAGCTGTGGTGCTGAAATGACTTAATAATACTAAGAGATAAGAGTCTGTTCATTATGGAGAGGGGTATGTGTGGCCTCAGAATAGTACCTTGGGAGGCCCATCCTTACACAGGCAGGAGGAAAGAAAAGCTGCTGGCCCATGTTCCTCAAAAAGGCAGAGGGAAGAGCTACTGATGCAACCTTTCCTTCTCTTTTCCTGGCAAACAGATTGGCTTCCGCATAATTTAGAATATATGCACACACCTTCCTTTGACTTTATCCCTTTAACAGTAATCCTCTTTATTTTCAATATCAAATTCCCCTTTATCTTTTGCTCACTTTCGTACTATTAAATCTGGCTTCTACTTGCCAAAGTTATCAATGAGCTAAATGCCAAAATCTTAGTCTTTACATGCTTGAGCACTCTATGTATTGTATGTTGAAAATGCCATGTTTTGCCTAGAAATCCTTTTACTTTATAGCATCTATCTGTTCTTTCCCATTGTGAATCATAAATGCATTAACATTTGAGTTGTGGATAAAAGCCCAGTAATCCATGCTCCATAGCCACTTGCTCATAGACTCAACTCTCCAGTGATCTGCGCAGTCCAGATATACCCATTTGCCTTCAACTTTATTTGACCTAACAACTCTCCTTGAATATCTTCTTCTGTGTTTTGTGTGATGCCACTTTCTGCTCATTCTTATCCTTCCTCTATGATCAAACTCTTTCAGTTTCCATACAGGAGTGTGGACTTTCTTCAACCATTCAACTTTTTAAATAGTAGTGATCCCCAGTATCCAGTCTAGGCTCTCTCCTCTTCTTTATACCCTGAGCAATCTCATTAATCACACCTATGCACTAAAGAATCTCTACTCTACACAAAAGAATCTCTACTCTACACACTTCCATCCAGAGCTCTCTCCTAAGCTCCAAATCTAGATATGCATTTCCAGACATTTCTTCCAAGGCATTTGGTACTCAAGGAGAGCCACTTCTCTTCTCCACAAACACTTCAGGAACATACACGGAGTTTTGTTTAAATTCTAACTATTAGGTCTTAACTTCCAAGATTTAGTAGATTTAGAGCCTGAGAACTTAACAAATTCCACAGGTGGTTTGGATGCACTTTCCTTCACTGAGAAAGTATCATTGGTTCTCCACCACCATACACATGATTTGATTTTTACCTATGTTTCCAAATTATAACTCTTTTTAACCAGGCCAGACTCTTCAGAGTTCTTTAAATGAACCAAGTTTATTCTCATTTCCATGTCATTTCGTGTATTATTAATTTTTTTTTTTATTCTTGCTGGGCGCGGTGGCTCACACCTGTAATCCCAGCACTTTGGGAGGCCAAGATGGGTGAATCATCTGAGGTCAGGAGTTCAAGACCAGCTTGGCCAAACCAGACATGGCGAAACTCTGTCTCTACCAAAAATACAAAAAGCCAGGCGTGGTGGTGGGCACCTGTAATCCCAGCTACTCAGGAGGCTGAGACAGGAGGGTTGCTTGAACCCGGGAGGGGAGGATGCAATGAGCCAAGAGCGCACCATTGCACTCCAGCCTGGGTGACAGAGTGAGATTCTGTCTCGAAAAAAAAAGCTGCTTCTTCTTTGCCTGAAAAATCCCTATTTTTTTAAAAAAAATTTGAACAGTTAGCTAAAGTATCACCACCTTTGGAGTATGTTTGCTGAATTCTTCTCTCTTCCACCTACCAGTAATGTTAGAAACTTCCTTCTTTAGAATTGTTCATAATTCTATGGTAATACTGATACTGCAGTATTTTCCTACTGACAGATTTGTAAATGTTTATTAACCTGTGTTGCATGCTTATGAATCTGCAGAGGCCAAATACTTCTGAATATGCAGAGTCGAACGTGATATGCTTACCTATTATTCTAATCAAGTAAATGACTTTTTCCCATTTTATAAAGCTGATAATTCTAATGAGACTGATTCCACAAATTACCCCAAGTTACAGTTTCATGACCTTAAATTACTTTATAAATCTTGACCAAATCAACTTACCAAGTATATGAATTATTTTGTGAAACTTCTCTCTAGTGCTAATGGTTCTCACAGCTACACTGGAAGACAGCTACATAGCATGACAGGGGCGTGTAGCTAGTAAGCTCAAGACAAGTCTAAATGGCTTTCTGCTTATATTTCAGGATGAAATACAACTATCTTTGATTATCTACACCTGTTTCCCTGCATGAGGAGGAACAAAGCATAACCATGATTTCCTTTCACTTAACAAGAAAAACAAAACCTCAATATAAGTAAAACATCAAAGTAAAACCATGATCATCTGTACTACTAAGTAAAGACTTATATAGTTAGCTGAGAAAAAGAAAAGTGCTCAGGGTAAATCATTTCTAAAATCTTTCAAGATAGAATCACTGCAAGACTCTTGGTAACTCTTATCAATGTAACTCCTGGGGTAAATATATCACCCTGTCTTTCAAATAAGACATTTACAGCACAATTTGTCACTCAAAATTAAAATATTTCCAGTTAAAATATTTAAAGGTATCAAGACACATGGAAACAAATTTGCGCAAACCATATCTGAAGATAAATTATATTTCAAGTACCTTGCTTAAGCTGCTTTTCCACTTGCTTGAATAGACCAATAAGTCTGACTTGGAATGGGTAGTTATTGCTTGACAGTATAGTGATTTTCCAGTGTTCTGTTTTGAATTAAGGAGAGCAAGTGCAACTTTTGTGGGCAAACCGAGTGGATTTGGATTACTGGCGCTTACTGTCCAATCAGTATAGGCTGAAGTTTTCTGGTCCTTCTGAGGCAAATGCAACGACTTCTGCCTTAAGAGATAACACCATGTAAAGTTGGTTGTAGTTTTCAGGCTAGGGAAAGCCAGCTGCTGGGTGTCCTTGATGTTAAACAATGAAAGAGAAGTGACTGGCTGTTGACTTTGCTCTTGGATGTTCACTTTGTCACCTTGATTTTTAACCCCTGGAGACTTCCTTTCTTGGTTATTGTCTGTACATTTCAAAGGAGAAATATGAGTATTTTCTGAAGGAGCAGGTGAACTTCGAACTGTAAGAGTTAATGATGTGGATGACTTGATGTTTTCAAATTCCTGCAATTCACTTATAGGTTCTATAACGACAAATTTAGAGCATCCTGTTGATGAATTATCAGCTGGTAAAACATTTGTCAAATTAACAGCCTCATTACTAATTTCAGGTTGAGAAAAAACATCCTTTTCCAACATCACACCGTCCAGGGGCTCTGTAGTACAAACCTGTCTCACTAAAATAGGCTTCTTCTGTTTACTAGCTTCATTAACTCTCGAACTCAAAGCCTCTAAAGGTCTCACGTCTGTTGCACAAACAGCTCCATTTTCATCTTTGGCCCGCTTCTGGTGCTTTTCCATGGCAATGTCTAAACTATTTGCTGGGGAAAGCATCCTTTTACTCGAAGCTGAAGATTCTTGTTGAGGGGAAAGTCGACCAACAGATATTTTCTGAGTTATGGGCAAGGATTCTGATAGAGAAGAATTTTGGCTCATCTCTGAAAAAACATTTTCACATAGAAATTCCTTCTCTGGGTTTGGCAAAGCATTCTGATGACCTTTTTGTAATGTTGGCACAGAATTTTGTTCTTCACTGATTGGCACTACACTATGATTAGTCTGGCAAATTGGCTGATTGGGCAGATCTTGGGTCACTAGTATTTGTGGCAGGGATGTGAGTGTAGCAAAACAGTAAGCAGGAACACTACTCTGCAGGCGTATGGGCAGCATGAATGATGATGGCACCTTCTGCACCTGACTTCCAAGGGGCCTGAGCTCTGGTGGTAGCAGAGGATGCGAATTAGACATGCTGTCAATTAATTTGGTTGGTAATGTTGCTGATGTCACACAATGATCTGTTCCAACTGGATCTGAAATAACTTGATTTGGCAAAGAATGCACAGGATTAGAAGAGCAAGATGGGCCTGAAGTGAAAACCTGACAATGCAATTGGTATTTGGGAGCAAAGCAATCCTCACTTTTAGAAGACCCAGATAAAACAGAATTTTTATCTGGCTTGCTACCCTGCGTAGACACTTGCAGAGATAGCTGTGTGCTCTGGTGGCTAGGCGGTGCATGGATTTGATTTAACAAATTGATATCACAGAGCTGTTGAACAGGAAAAACGTTGGTAGAGCTGGAGTTTGATGTTTCTGCCTGCAGATCCTTAACCTGAGTCTGAGAGTGCAAAGTATTTGCAGAAAACTCAGCTAAAGATGTACTAGTGAGCTGAGGCCCCTGATATGGCACTGCATTCACACTGGGAAGAGCAGTATTTTGGAAAGATGTTGGGTGTACAGGAGACAGATGACTATCTGGGGCTATGTTTAAAGATATTTGCCGTACCAGTGGGCCTCTCCTTCTTTCTAAGAGAGGCACATGCCCAGTCACTCCCACTCGAGAAGGTGAAGATGGAGGCTGCAATTCAGTAAGTGGTGTTGTCTGGGGTGGGGTGATGCTTCCACAATCGAATGATTTGCTTCTGAGATCAGAGACCTCCATTGACGTTTGCGTGCAATTAATCTGTTCTGATGCAGTACGCCTCATTTCCCGGTGACATCCAGGAACATTCAGAGTATTCAAGCCAGCTGGAATCATAAGAAACTCGGCTTTATTTAGAAAATCGATTTTGGGGGAAGCCTCCGTTTTAGAAACGTCCTCTATGTCTAAAGAGGCTGAGAAACTTGAAGTGTGAGATAAACTGCTCTCCCTACTTAGACTCCTGGAGAGAGTGGAATCAAAGCTCGATTCTGTTGAGGAATGTTCTATCTCAGCCAGACGGAGCCTTTTCTTTTTGGGTGGCAGTTTCTCTGTTGGCAATTTTGACAAGGTTTCACTACGCTGGGGCCAACTGAACTTCTCTGACTTTTCTTGATCATGGCATTGAGCTTCCAGGTCTCGATCTGGTTCTTCTGTGACCAAAATCTCTGGAACTTGGATGTTGTGCTGCCGGACAAGTCTTGAGGGCTGTCCTAACACATGTCGTTCACTTGGACTCTTTCTGGAGCTTTCCTGAAGTTCTCCTCTGAGAGCGTCTGATAGTGCAAGCTGGTGAGGATGAGACCCGTCCCGAGAAGGGTGACTTTCCTCTTGGGAGATTCCTATCACTTTTAGAGACCCGGACTTCCCCGTTCTATTCAGCTCCTGGAAAGAAACTGGGGAGGCTCTTTCAAAAGGCTCAGGCTTGTCAAATGAGTTGGGCCTGCTCAGGGAGTTGGTGTGCTGGATGACAGAGATTCCAGTTCCGTGTCTCTGCAGTTCTATCTTGTCCTGGGCTGCTGAACTTATCTGTTGTTCCATGATGGTCGACAGCTTGGGATCCATGGTCTGCTCAGGGCCCCTGGCAACAAGGTGAATATGGGAGTTTTGCAACTGTATATTTTTATGCTGCTGGTCACTTCTTATGGTAACATTATGTTTAGGCAAACTGGGATTACAGCCCAGAGCATTCTGAAACTGAAGGCCTTCAGAACTTTTTGGAGATGTTCCACTTTCATTTTGCTGAAGTTCTTCATCATCCCCAACACTTTTCATTTTCCTCCTTTTTCTTATCTGGGGCGTCTGTTCCCAGATGCCGGAGGACCCAGCGACTCTGTAGTGTAGAATCTGAGGCTGCAGACCGCCGGGCACAGGGCTGTGCTCAGGTTCTCTCATGGCTACCTTTGTTTTTGGTCCATGTAACTCAGAACAGTAAAATTTCTTATGATTTTCAAAATTTTCCAGTTTCCTATACCTGTTTCTACAAGTTTCACACTCAAACATTGTCCCTCGCCCTTGATGAGACTTCTTTTTTTCTATATGTGGGCCTTGTGCCAGTGCCTTGCTCCTCACTGACATGGCTTCACCAGCAGCATGGCATCCTTGGTGGCTCTCATCCAGGGACTGTCCAGTACCAAGAACATGACTTTCATTTGCTGAAGAGTCTTCTATGGCTGCTTGTCTCACAAGTGTACGGGGATGCCCACTCTGGGGCACAGGAGCGTTAGGTCCCGATACAAAGACATCATCATAGAAAGCGCCAATTTTGTCATCAAATGACTGACTTCCTCTTAGTGGATGAGGAGGAGGTATTATATTTGCAGGTACTGCTGAATAACCTGTGGTCGGCATGGAATTACTTCTTGTGATAGGTAAACAGTCAAGTGAAGGTACAGACAGAAGAAACACTTGCTTTGATTTTTCAGTAGGGGTGAAAGGTGACTTCGGTATATCAGAGCTTGAACTTGTTCTCCGTCCCACTGGTTTTAAATCAAACTGGAAAGAATCTTTAAATATGTATGATTTGGGGGAATCAATGCTTCCTCGTCTTGACAGTGAGGTTCTCCGCGGCTTCACACTATCCAGTTGCTTGTCATCTACCAAAGCTTCATTGTCTGAGATAAGCTTCGATATCCGCTCCTCAAGTGTTTTTGTGGCCAAAGGTGGGCGCATCTGACCTGGTAAAAGCAATGCCTTTTCCCCTGTGGGCAAAGCAGAGGGTGTTGACGTGGTGACAAGAGCTGCAGAGGGTCCGTTACTCCTTCCAGAGTCTTGTTCTGTGCTGGGTAACCTTCTGGCAAAGGGAGTTGGTGGACTCACTGTTTGATCGGCACTTTCAGAACGTGAAAAGTAACCAGAATCCGTACTTCCTAAACTTCGAGGACTCAGGAGCTTTCCTTGCTGCTCTTGGGAGTAATCGGTAGCCTGCTGCCTTTGTAGCTGGGCGTGTACCGTTCCTACGTGAGAGTCTTGCTTTCCTTCCAGTGGATTCATGTCGCCTTTCTGGTGGGAATTCTCATTAGTCTCCAACCTGGAGACTCCACCCTGGGACATGTTGGCTGAAAGTGGCTGTACGTTTGTCACCTGAAGGTCCTTCTGCTTTTGTGCACTAGAAAGTTCAGGCTTGGGATCCATGGCCTTTGGACTGTCAGTTCTTAAGGGGGACACAGTGACATGGTGGACCACAACTTTCGGTAACTCTGTCACAGCTTGTGATTCTGCAGATCTGTCCTGTAGCAAAAAGTCACCTATCACATTTTCTGGACTGCTTGGAGTGAAGCTTGATTTTAGTAAAGTTTCAGCATTTGACATCCTCTTTATTATGTGCACAGGCTGCAGCTCCATGGCGCCCAGGTCATGCTGTCTCTCATCAGTGGCGCCTTCCTCCTCGCTCTCCCCACTGTCTTCTACGTCTGAATGAATACTAAGTGCTTTGGGGGACTCGTGGGACAAGAACAAGCCACCAGCATCTGGTTGCAAGACAAGACCCAGTTTGATAGTATGTGCGTGGGATTTCTTGTGCTTATACAGATTACTTTTAGTCTTAAATGAAAATCCACAAGTCACACAGGGATAGGGTCGCTCTCCAGTGTGGGAGCGGATATGCTTTAAAAGCACACTAGGCTTTGCACATGCTCTATTGCAATACTCACAAATATATTTTCCTTGTTTTTTTGGCTTCTGATCTTTCAGAAGAAGATTGCACATTTGCTCTACGCTTTGATTAACAACAGAGGCAACATGAGTTGAATTATAGATTGGCATGGGGGGCGACTGTGTAGAATTAGCCGGACTTATTGACAAAGGTGAAGCAGAATCCATTTGCTGGTTTTGAGGAGTAACCTGAGATCTACTGGAAGGTGAAGTTAGGCCTACAGATGATGTCACTGCTATATTATAAACCTGTTCAAGTTTGGCATTCTCTTGATTTTGCAGATTTGTCAGTGATCCTGTGAAACCTGAACACCCCGGAAGCTGTTGATTATGTTGGTTGGATTTGGGAACAAAGTGTTCATGTTGATGATACAAATGAGAAGCTGACTGCATTGCCCCTTGCTCATTCTTCTGAGCAGCAGACATATGGACTGTGTATGAGGTACAAGAAGACTGTGATTCAGCAACCAATTCCTGTGAAGTCTGATTTGGGGCATCCATTGAACTGTTTTTTAATTTGGGAGGGGAACGTGCAGTTTTATTTGGCCTCAGTTTTTCTGTCTTAATTGCACAAGGTGAGCCCTTTTGTGACAAGGTGCTCAGTTCTGGCTCCATTGCTTTCAGTAAGACATCGAATGCAGTGTTTGTATAGGAGGGGGACGTAGTGCCACAATGAGAAGAGATGCATTCGCTATTGTCAGTCCTGGTTTTACTTGACAAGGAACTTGAGTCACATTGTTCATCGAGGTCACTGAATTTGGCAGGATCAGCGCCTTCGGATCTCCATCTACGCAGTTCAGATGGTTGCTGCAGAAACAAGGGCTTCTTTGGGGAGACAGATTCTTCAGATTTTGAGGCTTCAGCAATTATTCCAGGTGTTTCTCCATTTTGTTTGGTAAACTGCTTCCCATTTTTTACAGGAATATAATTCTGTTTCTTGTGAGACTCCGAAGCACTATGAAGAACGGCGAAAGATGACTCTTCTGTATTTTGTTTATGTTTTGCCTGAAGAGGATTTCTCAGTGGGGATTTTGGTATTTTTTTCAGGTGATTCTCAGCTACGATCTTTTTGCGTTTCACACCTTTAAGGGATTCCGAAGTTCCTTTAACACCAGCCTGTAAGATTTCTGGAAAAAACAACAACAACAACAAACAATTGGTAACATTGTACATACACCAACTATAATTTTTTGAAAATTAAGATTACTATCATAAGGACATTATGACAAGTGAAGAAAGTATTTAAGGAAAGTCTATTTTTTAAATAAAATTGCACTTCTGCATTCCGGAAATTGAACAATGATGCCAATCAAAATCTATTGAAACACTCATTCAAAGACCTAAGTGTGCATTTCTAGAATGCTTATGTTCCTTTCTTGAATAATCAACATCCTGGAACTAGATCTTTCAAAACTGAATTATCTTTCCCCTTTTCACTATCATACTTAAACAGTGCTCCATGGGGTTAAAGAAACTGGTAACTAACAAGAAGTTTTGAGCTTGTCTTACAGCACTGCAGATAAAGAAACAGCTTGTTAGAACTCCCTCTGCTTGTAACAAAACTGGTTGACTGGTTGAAGCTGGTTGGAACTGGTATGGCTGATTGGGATCTGCACAGAATAGACTTCTTGCCAGATGAGGGACTTTCTGATATCAAAGCCAGTATTTTCACCACAGGTTTCACACCAACTCCCTCCGAATTTGCAAAGGCAACCCATGAGGAAGCACGAAGAGACAACTGTGCCTGCTCAAGGGACTTTCCAAACCTCCCCTCCCTTTCCAACAATCATTAACCAACCCCAAAACTCCTCCTCCAGCATCTCCTCCTTTTATATACTGCTTTAAGCTGGTAAGGGAAGACAGAATTGAGCCCATCTCCTGCATGGCTGCCTTGCCATTAATCTTTCTCTCTATAAAAATCCAGTGATTCAGTGTTTGGCTTTTCATTGTGTGCAGACAAATGGACCTAGATTGGCTTGGTAGCAATACCTGAGGACTCTGTCTACACAACAGTCTGAGAAGGCTGGCCAAAAAGAAGAAAATTCAACCCTTTAATGCTGAGTATTTGACTGTCTTATCTCATTAAGGTTCTTTTAAAACAAACTTTTCAGCAAATTTCTAAGTATGCAAAACTGATATTTTCAGGAGAAAAGGGGCTGCTAATATAATTTCTAGAGCAGACCATAGTCAGGACAGCCATGAAGTATTGCTGATGTAGCAATTATATCAATGAACAGAAAATTATGAAACTAAAATAATCCACTTATTTGTGGTTTCTTACCAACAAAATTAAAAAGTCATAAGGTTGTAATGGGCCTTGGTTTAAAAAAAATCACCACTTTAACTCAACAAAATATTCAATGGCTATGTTTCTTTGTCATTAGCAATAGGTAGGGCAGGTAGGCAGGTAGGGAGATAGGCAGAAAGAAGGTAAAACTTATTGCAAGAGAAATGAAATCACCTTAATTTCTAGTTGTGTTGGAAATAAATCAGTATTTAAGTGACAGTGCCCACAATCTATCAACTACTGTATTTTTGAGCAATAATTACTTGCCATGATTTACTTTGGTTTCCATTTGTTGGATTGTTGGGCATATGAACAAAAAATATTCAATCGTATATTACTCTATTTGTAGAAAGCCAACTACTTAATTCTCCACTATTTTCAAATAGCTGTTGCAACGTACATATTTGAAATTCATATTAGACCAAAATGTCTACACTGTAATAACTACTTATTGAGAATAAAATTTACATTAGAAATATTCTAGTAATATTGTGACATCAGTTTATATGCTCTCATATCATAGTTTAATGAAAAAAATGCATACTATTCCATTAAAGATATATTTACCCACCATAATAAAAAAAAAAACAAAAGGGGGTCTCATAACTAAAATATTTGAGCTAAAGAACAATAGAAAAAAGTATCAGTATTATTCACTTTTACAAAATGTTGAACAAACATTTTTTTATTCTCCAATCCACTCACTCATGAAATGATGTTTTCCCACTGGTTTTCCCTTATTAAGATGAATGTAAGAAAGTCAGTGATGCACTTTTTGACTCTCATTAACTCTATCAGGCAAGTAGGCAAAGTGAAAAATGATGCTCATCAACCTGGGCTGAGTAGTCTCTCTATCCACTTCCAAAAGCTAGATGTGGGTATCATAAAGGTGAAAGCCAGGAGGCTATTAAAATAAATACAAAAACAGAGATGAGAAACCACTTGGATGAGAAGCTAGCAGAGCTGAAACACCATGGACTTAAAAATAATCTACCCATGTCAGGCCCCATCCAGGACCTATTCAACCAGAGTCTTGGACAGGGTAGGTATGCCTGTTTTGCTCTGCTTCACAAACATTTTAAGATAAACTTTTATTTTTAGATAAAGTTATGTTATTCAAAATTAAATAATGTCTTATACTCCAAAGAAAAATGCAAAATTTCAACCCAGAAATACTGTATGTGATTTAAACAACAACAACAAAAACTGTAACCTTGTACTTAAAAGAAAATGACATTGAAGTTAAGATAAAGGAATTGCTAAACTTAAGATCCATATTTCTTTATAAGAGAAACTATTTTCTATAAATCTACTGGGAGTTAAGAATTGGAAAAACACATATGTTAAATGGAACTTTTGAACTACACGTTTTGATTTTACATATAGATGACCTCCTCTCTCATTTGTCAAAGCTTATAACACTTACATTTTATCTGTATCGTTGTTTATACTTAGTTATCTATTTAATTTTAACACTTGACTGGTGCTATTCCCTTCAAAACTTTGCATACTCCCTTGTTTTCTGGCAATTTGGTTTACACCTCAGAAAACTTTTCTTCTATGATATCTTCATATACGTTTTCTGGTCAACTTTTTTTGGAATAAAGTTCTTTTATTTAGGGAAAAGGTTTTTACCTTTTGTTTTCTCTACAATTTTCTAAAGCTTTTCTCTTATGTTGACAACTGAATTGTCACACCATTAAATTCTTTACTGTTTCATATTTATTCATTAGTTTTGGACTGATAGTATTTTGTTCTCATTTTATTCCCTTAGTTCCATATTTCCCATTTCATCTCATTTTATTGTCTCATATTAAGTTTGAACTCTTGCTTAAATACATTTATGATCTTTAGTTCTGCACTTAAAAACACTTGTGTTTCTGGAGTAATATTTCCTTTAAGGCAGAATTTGGGCCTGTCTTCCACATTCTCAAGGCTCTTCTACTGCCTGAGATCATGGGGAATGGTGATCTCACTCAGCACTCAGCTGAGAACATACTCCTGACAGTCTTTTTTGAGTTGTGTTCATTCTTCTGGATTTTGTTGGATCTTCTTTCTTTAACAGGTTCACTGTCCTTGTTCAAGGGATAAAGCCCACTCTACCACTGGTGCTTGGGAGGGGAGGAGGTAGTGAGATGACCCTGGACCTTGGATCAGTCTAAATTCAAGGACTTTTTTTTTTATTGTAAGGAGGGGAGAGGCTAGTGGAGGGGATGTGAGAGATGCAAACAGAAGGACGATGGCAGGCATATGTGAGAAGAATACTGCACTATCATTTTAGAGGTGGAAGTGAAAGCAAGGTGCCTGCCTCTCCATACATTTTTCACTCTCCACCCCTTGATTCTCAAGATCTGGGGCTGAACAGCTCAGAGTGGGCAGCTAAACCATCAGGCTAGGAATTATAGACAAATACCTTCTCTCGAGAACCAAGGCCCTAGAGTGGAAGGCAGCAGACCCTTGGGTTTTCAGATAATGAAATACCTGGAATAGTTTTTTAAACTTACCCTCATCTTGATTAATTTTAAATCTATCTATTAAAGAGTGACTGGAGTTATTTTCTCTTGTCCTCTTATCTATAGAAAAGAGCACAATCATCAAACCTTGTGGCTATATCTACAACATAGTCAAGAGGATGCATAGACCATAGTGCTTCAAAGCAGAAATAAAATTGGTATGAAGAGAAGGAGGAGACAGCTGTTCACCATTAGCACTTGTGCTTTTCCATCATTTTAAAGGCAATTTGTTGTTAAGGTGAATTAAATATAAAATACATTAGAGGACACAAAGAGAAAGACCAAGCAGTAGAAGGCAGCCCAAGGATTCACATGGAGCTTATGCAATGTGATCACTCCCCACCAACCCCACCAACCAGCACCCCCCGCGAGCCTCTGCCTCAGAGGAAGTACACTGGCTTCTATTCACCACCCTGATTCCAGAAATGTTGTCATTTTGCATGTTTGTTTTTACCATTACTAAGTTTAGACATACTTGGTGTACACCAGCATTGAAACACAACCCTCTCTCCTTACACAGGGAGAACTTACAGTCAGATTGGGAAGGGAAGAGAAAGATTCAAAATAGGAGTCAGGCAGCCACTGAAAACTGTATTCTCCCACTTGTCAGTGTGCTACCGGTAATGACTGAAAATCAAGCAGAAACTCTGAGGTATCAACACATCAAAAATCCAAACACGACTTCATATAACAGATACAAAGCACACTCAGGAGAGGGACCAAAATCAGCAGCACTGCCCCTGTCAGACCACTGACCTGGGCTTCGAAAGGAAAGCCAGCACTCTTCATCAGTTAGGGAGTCAAGAACAGCTTAGAAAGACCACAGGGGCCACTTTGTTAAAAAAAAAAAAAAAAAAAAAAAAAAAGAATAGTTGGGGAAGTATAAGTTAAGATTCCTGTGTTCTATGTGAAGTCACTGACACTTTATTTTCCAAGGCACAAATCTATTTATTAGGGCTTCTATGTTTCTTTGAAGAAGAGCACCAACGAGTTTGAAATATCACTGTCAGCTGTTTTTCAGGATTACTTCTAGAGAGTAACAGATTAAAAGCAAACAGATTAAAAGGCTCAAGAGTGCATCTTAGTTGCCAATAAAGTGTGGTAAAGCATATTCTTATGGTAAGTAGTAGGGATGATAAACCACAGCTCAGAGTGTGCTTAAAATCCTGTCTTGATTGAAGGTGAACCTCCAAATAAATCTCTTTTCAGATTTACTCAGAGACATGTCAGCTGAAAAACTTCAGATCTCTTTTGGGCCTTAGGAACATAAGTAGTACCTGTTTTCTAACAATTGAGATCATGCTCGGCCAGAAGGTCAAGAGATCAGACCAGGAGGCCATTCAGAAGGCTTTTTTCAGTAGTTTGTGCAAGAGTTAAAATGCTACCCTGAACTCAGGCATCAATCTCAAACTCAATATACATGCACAGAATTGTAAACTGTAGCTGGAAATTCAGGACAAGAAATTTTCAATAGGAAATGGTTAGGCTAATTATGGCACAGCCACTTAACATAACATTATACATCCATTTAAAATAATTACAAAGATTACACAGCAATATGAAAATTATGATACATTAAGTGTACGTGCACATTCTTTTTTTTTCCCTCTAGAGAGAGGTCTGGGCTAGAGGCACAGATCTGGGAATATGCGGTGAGAGCTGTTTTTGTAAAAGGACATAAATGATAAGCCAAAGAGAATATGCTGTGGAGAGGGGAGGTCTGACATGAGAAGGATGGGTAATCCCTACACTTAGGGGTGAGCTAGAAACAAAAAGAAACAAGGGGAAATCAGAAAGATGAGACAAAACATGTGATAGTGGAACAGCCAGGAAGTGGGGGTTTAGAAACTTTTAAAAAGGAAGATGTGGCCAATAGTGTTGAATATCACATTCAGATACACAGATGAAAATTAACAAGAGGTCCCTGGGCTTGGTGGTCACTGGGACTAGGAAGACATCATTATCTCTGAAAGCAGTGTCAGCGGGGTTCTGGAGGTAAAAACCCTATCATATACCAGTAAGGAGTGAAGGAGGGCATGAGGACGCGCAGGGCCCGCAAATACAGGCGCTCTCCTGGGGATATGGCTGTAAAGTAAAAGAGAAAGACAAGACGTCAGAGTCAGGGGAAAGGAGGGCAAGGGAAGTCTTCTTTAGGATATGGGAGGGTTGAGTGTGTTTATAAACAGGTAGTGAAAGTTGGCAGAGAGAACCAGAATAAAGATACAAGACAGAAAAATTAATTAAATAAAACAAATTTAAAAATTAATTAAACAAATTAAACAAATAATGTGTGATAAACAGGTATACTCAAGAAGCTACCACATAGATGTGGGAACAACTGGTGAAGATGGAGGTAAGGAAATGCCTGGGAGAAGTTTCGTGGCAGCAGCACATCTGACTAAAGCCTACAGAGACAGGCAGAGAGGGACAAGTCCTTTCCAGTTAGGGAACAGCATGACAAGGTGAGCAGGAAAATGCATAAGACTCACCTAAGAGCAGGAAGCCAACCTTGCTGTTCATCTATTAGTAGAGTGGGAGATAGGATGGAAAAGGTATTCTACAACCAGGTTACTCTAGGCCTTGAACACAAAGCAGAAGAGACTGGAATTCACTTAGCAAGCAAAAGGAAGCTACATTCAGATCATCACCAAGTTCTTCCCATTCCTCATGCAATGTAATTCAAGCATCTTAACATGGCCAAAAGACTGCAGGGACATCTGACTCACAACTCTCCAACCTCCCTCTACACCATTTCCCCTGACTCACTCCGCTTCAGCCTGCGGTAAACTTTCTCCTCCTCGAACTGCCCCATCTCGTTGCTGCCCCTGGGATTTGTACTTGCCATCTCCTCAGCATGAAAAGCCCTCCCTACACCCAACTCTCAAGATGACAGGGTCATTTTCAACCTTCAACTCACCGCACCAGTGTTACCTCTGGGCTGTTCCTCCACTCTACCTAAGGTCGGTGTCCCTGTCCTGCCCACCCCACCCTTCTTTACAGTCATAATCTAGAATGCCCTGTTTGCCTGTTTACATGTGTATCTTCTGCCTTTGAATTAGGATGGGCTGAGGGAGTCCACACTCACTTACAGGCTCTTTAACATGGGCCCGCACCAGGTGCTCACATGAGGGGCAGGACGAGGCCAGAGAAGTGCCCCAAGCGTGTAAGCAGAGTGGACAGGCATGAAGCCAACTCTCCCTGAGAGCTTCCTCCCCCTGAGCAAAGCCTTGGGCTTTAAGCTGATAGGGAAAGGGCAGCAGATGTCACCACAGGGACAGACAGAAACACCCTGCAGCCGGGAGAAGAACAGAGGAGGACACCCTCTACCCCAGGGGAGGCAGGAAACTGTCCTGAGACCAAAATCCCACACCAATAAAATTTCAGTCCCTTGCCATGGGGGAGGGGCTGGAAACACAGGGACCGCCAAGACTGAGGCTGGACCAGGAGATGGAGCAACCCTCCCCTCCCCACCCCATCCAGAAGCCCAGCCCTGTGGGGGAAGCAGCAGCAGCCCACTGCTAGGGGGGCGGTGAGGAGGTGGGCAGGGACTCCCCCAGCCTATGGCGCAGGAGGCTGCAAGCTGAGCAGGGGCACTAGCACTGAGAAAAGCCCCCAGAGTCCCAGTCCCCGCCATAAGCACAAGGAACCGGCAGGAAAAGGAAGAATAAACAGGGTAGTAGAAATACATGAAAAAAATAATGGCCAAGAATTTTCCCCAAATAATGAAAACAACAAACCATACATCCAAAAAGCCTAAATAACCCATAACTAGGATGATTAAGAATATGATACGAAAGAATAAGCATAAAGAATAAAAAAAATACTGAGAAAAAGAAGAAAAGGGAGAAAAAGAATTTAGACAATATATTCAAACTGCTGAAAACCAAAGATAAAGAGAAAATCCTGAAAGCAGCCAGAGGGTAGAAAAACATTACACACAGAGAATAAAAGATAAAAATTAAAGCAGACTTCTCAACGGAAACCATGGTGTGATATTTTTACACTACTGAAAGAAAAAAAAATTGTCCAACCCAGAATTTCATATTGAGAAATAATTTAGCTTTCAAAAATGAAGGCCATAGCAAGATTTTTTTCAGAAAAACAAAAGCTGAGAGAATTCGTTGTCTTCAGGCCTATACTGAAATGTTAAAACTTAAATGTGGATCTATACATATAAATGAAGAGCTCTGAAAATGACAATAATAAAATTATAAAAAGAACTTTAAGAATTTTATCACTTCAAAATTTCACCGTTTAAAAGATAATACAGTGTAAAGTTGTACTGTCCAATATGGCAGCATGGTGGGTGAAATAATGGCCCTATAAAATGGCCACACCCCAACCTCTGGAACCTGTAAATGTTTCTGAATGTGGCAAAGGGGACGCTGCAAATGTGATATGGTTACGTATTTTGAGATGGGGAGATTATCCTCGGTTACTGCAGGACTCTTTCAAATTTAATTACACAATCCCATAACAATGGAGAATCTCTTAGGGCTGAAGTCAGAGGTATTGAACAACTGAAGAGGCAGGAGAGAGACAGGAAATGAGACCTGACCTGCCATTGCTGGCTTTCAAGACGGAGAAAGAGAGCTCCCGTCCAAAGAACATGGTAGCCTCTAAAAGCTGGGAATGGACTTCAGCTGACAGCTCACAAGAACATGATGACTACAGCTACAGGACTAAATTCTGCCAGTAACCTGAATAAGCAGGAAAACAGAATTTCCCCTGGAGCCTCCAGAAGACAGACCTGCTGACATCATCATTATAGCCAGGTCCTGTGTCAGGCTTCTGACCTACAGAACCACAAGACAGTAAGTACTGTGTCAACTGCTAAGTTTGTAGGAATTTGTTACGCAGCAAAAGAAAATGAATACAGGTATACCTTGCTTTGTTGAGCTTCGCAGATACTGTGCTTTTTGCATTAAGGGTTTGTGGCAACTCTGCATGGAGCAAGTCTGTCTTGGCACCATTTCTCCAAACATATGCACTCACTTCTGGTGTGTGACATATTTTTTCTAATTCTTGCAATACTTCAAACTTTTGCATTATTATTATATCTGTCATGGTGATCTTTGATCAGTGATCTTTGTTTTTACTGTTGTAATTATTTTGGGGCTGCATTAATTGTGCCCATGTAACACAGTAAACTTAATAAATGTTGTGTGTGTGTTCTCACTGCTCCATCAACTGGCCATTCCCGTCTCTCTGCCTCTCCTTGGACCTGCCTATTACCCAAGACACAACAATGTTAAAATTATGCCAGTTAATAAGCCTACAAGGGCCTCTAAGTGTTCAAGTGAAAGGAAGAGTTGCATGTCTCTAGCTTTAAGCCAAAAGCTAGAAATGATTAAGCTTACTGAAGAAGGCGTGTTGAAAGCTGAGATAGGCTGAAGGCTAGGATGCTTGTACCAGCCAGTAAGCCAAGTTGTGAATGCAAAGGCAAAGTTATTGAAGGAAATTAAAAGTGCTACTCCAGGAAACACCTGAACGACAAAAAAGCACAACAGTCTTATTGCTGATATGAAGAAAATTTTAGTGGTTTGGACAGAAGATGAAACCAGCCACAACATCCCTTAAGCCAAAGCCTAACCCAGAGAAAGGCCCTAACTCTCTTCAATGCTATGAAGGCTGAAACAAGTGAGGAAGCTGCAGAAGAAAGGCTGACAGCTAGCAGAGGTTGGCTCAAGAGATTTAAGGAAAGAGGCCATCTCCATGACATAAAAGGGCAAGGTGAAGCAGCAGGTGTTAATGTAGAAGCTGCAGCAAGTTATCCAGAAGATTTTGCTAAGATAACTGAGGAAGGTGGCTACAGAAAACAACAGATTTTCTATGTAGATAAACCAGCCTTCTATTGGAAGAAGATGCCATCCAGGGCTTTCATACTAGAGAGAAGTCAATGCCTGGCTTCAAAGCTTCAAAGGACAGGCTGACTCTCTTGCTAAGGGCTAATACAGCTGGTGGCTTTAAGTTGAAGCAAACGCTCATCTACTATTCTGAAAATCCATAAGACCCTTAAGAATCATGCTAAATCTACTCTGCCTGTGCTGTACAGATGGAACAACAAAGCCTGGATGACAGCACATCTGTTTATAGCATGGTTTACTGAATATTTTAAGCCCAATATTGAGAGTGACTACTCAGAAAAAATAGATTTCTTTTAAAATATCACTGCTCATTGAATAAACCTTGTCATTCAAGAGCTCTGATGGAGATGTATAAGAAGATGAATGTTGTTTTCATGCCTGGTAATACAATGTCCATTTTTCAGCCCACGGATCAAGGAGTAATTTTTACTTTCAAGGCTTACTATTTAAGAAATTCATTTCATAAGGTGATAGCTGTCATAGACAGTGATTCCTCTGATGGAGCTGGGCAAAGCAAATTGAAAGCCTTCTTGAAAGGATTCACTATTCTAAATGCCATTAAAAGCATTCATGATTGATGAGAGGAGGTCAAAATGGCAACATTAACAGGAGTTTGGAAGAAGCAGATTCCAGTCCTCAAGGATGACTTTGAGGGATTCAAGACTTCAGTGGAGGAAGTCCCCGCAGATGTGGTGGAAACAGCAAGAGAAGCAGAACTAAAGTGGAGCTTGAAGATGTGACTGAATTGCTGCAATCTCACGATAAGGCTTGAATGGATAAGGAGATGCTTCTATGGACGAGCAAAGAAAGTGGTTTCTTGAGATGAAATCTATTTCTGGTGAAGATGCTGTAAACGCTGCTGAAATGACAACAAAGGATTTAGAGTACTACATAAACACAATTGATAAAGCAGTGGCAGACTTTGAGAGGACTGACTCCAATTTTGAAAGAAGTTTTACTCTGGGTGAAATGCTATCAAACACCATCCTATGCTACAGAGAAATCTTTCATGAAAGTAAAAGTCAAGGTGGCAAACTTCACTGCTTTAAGAAATGGCGGCCGGGCCCTGTGGCTCACGCCTGTAATCCCAGCACTTTGGGAGGCTGAGGCGGGCGGAACACGAGGTCAGGAGATTGAGACCATCCTGGCTAACATGGTGAAATCCCGTCTCTACTAACAAAAAATTTAAAAAAATTTAAAAAATTAGCCGGGCGTGGTGGCAGGCGCCTGTAGTCCCAGGTACTCGGGAGGCTGAGGCAGGAGAATGGCGTGAACCTGGGAGGCGGAGCTTGCAGTAAGCCAAGATCGCGCCGCTGCACTCCAGCCTGGGCGACAGAGCGAGAGTCTGTCTCAAAAAAAAGTAAAAATAAAAATAAAAAATAAAAAGAAATGGCAATGAGAGGTGACAGCATGCTGGCAGTCCTGAGAGCCCTCGCTCCCTCTCGGCGCCTCCTCTGCCTGGGCTCCCACTTTGGCGGCACCTGAGGAGCCCTTCAGCCCACCGCTGCACTGTGGGAGCCCCTTTCTGGGCTGGCCAAGGCCAGAGCCGGCTCCCTCAGCTTGCAGGGAGGTGTGGAGGGAGAGGCGCGAGCGGGAACCGGGGGTGCGCGCGGCGCTTGCAGGCCAGCTGGAGCTCCGGGTGGGCGTGGGCTTGGCGGGCCCCGCACTCGGAGCAGCCGGCCGGCCCTGCTGGCCCCGGGCAATGAGGGGCTTAGCACCCAGGCCAGCGGCTGCAGAGGGTGTACTGGGTCCCCCAGCAGTGCCAGCCCACCAGCGCTGCGCTCGATTTCTCGCCGGGCATTAGCTGCCTTCCTGCGGGGCAGGGCTCGGGACCTGCAGCCCGCCATGCCTGAGCCTCCCACCCCCTCCGTGGGCTCCTGCGCAGCCCAAGCCTCCCCGATGAGCGCCGCCCCCTGCTCCATGGCGCCCAGTCCCATTGACCACCCAAGGGCTGAAGAGTGCGGGCGCAGTGCACGGGACTGGCAGGCAGCTCCACCTGCAGTCCTGGTGCAGGATCTACTGGGTGAAGCCAGCTGGGCTCCTGAGTCTGGTGGGGACGCGGAGAATCTTTATGTCTAGCTCAGGGATTGTAAATACACCAATCGGCACTCTGTATCTAGCTCAAGGTTTGTAAACACACCAATCAGCACCCTGTGTCTAGCTCAGGGTTTGTGAATGCACCAATTGACACTCTGTATCTAGCTACTCTGGTGGGGCCTTGGAGAAACTTTATGTCTAGCTCAGGGATTGTAAATATACCAATAGGCACTCTTTATCTAGCCCAAGGTTTGTAAACACACCAATCAGCACCCTGTGTCTAGCTCAGGGTTTGTGAATGCACCAATTGACACTCTGTATCTAGCTACTCTGGTGGGGCCTTCGAGAACCTTTGTGTCCACACTCTGTATCTAGCTAATCTGGTGGGGACGTGGAGAACCTTTGTGTCTAGCTCAGCGATTGTAAACGCACCAATCAGCGCCCTGTCAAAACACACCCCTCAGCTCTACCAATCAGCAGGATGTGGGTGGGGCCAGATAAGAGAATAAAAGCAGGCTGCCCGAGCCAGCAGTGGCAACCCGCTCGGGTCCCCTTCTACGCTGTGGAAGCTTTGTTCTTTCACTCTTTGCAACAAATCCTGCTGCTGCTCACTCTTGGGTCCACACTGCCTTTATGAGCTGTAACACTCACCACGAAGGTCTGCAGCTTCACTCCTGAGCCAGCGAGACCACGAACCCACCAGAAGGCAGAAACTCCGAACACATCCGAACATCAGAAGGAACAAACTGTGGACACATGCCTTTAAGAACTGTAACACTCACCGTGAGGGTCCGCAGCTTCATTCTTGAAGTCAGTGAGACCAAGAACCCACCAATTCTGGACACAGCAACAGCCACCCAACCTTTAGCCACCAGTACCCTGATCAGTCAGCAGCAATCTGCATCGAGGCAAGACCCTCTACCAGCAAAAAGATTATGACTGGATAAAGACTCAGATGATCATTCACATTTTTGGCAATATTTTTTAAATTAAGGTATTCTCATTGTTTTATTAGACATAATGCTATGAAAGCCAATGCTCATCTGCACACTTACACGGATTACAGTATAATGTAAACATAACTTTGATATGCACTGGGAAATAAAAAAAATTCACGTAACCTGCTTTATTGCAGTATTTGCTTTACTGCAGTGGTCTAGAACTAAACCCATGGCATCTCTAGGGTATGCATATTCAAGGAGCACTAGGTACAGTGCCTATTGGCTACTTAAATTTTAAAACAAAGTATGCAGTTCAAAAAAGTTAAGAGGACATAGAAAGTATGTTCCCTGAACACAACAAAATTAAACTAGAAATAGCAGAAAGATACCTGAAAAACCTCCAAATATTTAGAAAGTTATCAATACAATTCTGAACAGCCCAGGGGTCAAACAGAAAGTCACAAGAGAAATTAGAAAAATCAAAATAAAACTAGCAAACTAAGAAAATACGATAAAGAATATCTCTCATGCCAATGATACGCAATACTCAAAGCCAGATCCTAGAAAAATCTCCTTCTGAGGTCTGGGATAATAAGAGGATTCCTGCAATGGCCACTTATTTTTAATCACTTCTGTAGACTATTCAACTAACACAATGAAAGAATAAAAATCAATGAAATATAAATGACGGTAAGAAGGAAAATAGCATTATTTCCTGATAATAAAATGGTCTCCTAGAGAACCCATAAGAAATCACTGACAATCTATTATACCTAACAGAAGAGTTCAGTACAGAAACACACAAATATCAGTCTTTTTCCTTATGCCATAAATGATTAGTTAGAAAATACAATGGAAAATATTCTTCGACTAATATTAATAAAAATATTAAAATGCCATGAAATAATTTCGCACAGAAAATTCTAAACATACAGAAAATTTTAAAGTTTTCAGTATGAGTTTTTGTTTAAAAGTGGCTTACATAATAAAGAAACACACCATCCCCCGGAAAAAAAATAATATTTTGAGTACGTCAATTTGCAAATATCCAAGTTTTATAAAATTTCAAACAATAAAAAATTTTACTCTTTTAAGAAATGTAACATGCCTCCAATCTCCATTTGAGAAAATAATCACTCTAAATTGAACAATAAAATGCTGAAAGAAAATTATGTAAAGACAGCTTCATGGAAAAGATATTAAATGGTTAAGACAATATTTTCTCAAGATCAGATCAATGGATAAACCAAAAATACATAAAAAGGCCCTATCATGTATATGTATATATGTGTGTGTGTATATATATGTATATATGTGTGTGTGTATATATATGTATATATGTGTGTGTATATATATGTATATATGTGTATATATATATGTATATATGTACTTAGTAAATGAAAAAGGTGCCATATTTCAAAATTTTTGGGAAAAGAGATTCAAGTCTCATACACTGGATGATAAAGTAGAAACAGATCTTAAGCAAACAGCATGTACCAAAATAAGTTCAATAATTCAATGTAAGAAAGAAAACCACAAAAAGAATAAGAAAATAGGAATAAATATTTAGCTCACCTTGGGCTGGGATTACACTTTCTAAGCAAAAAAGCAAGCAAAGCAATTTGAATACATAAAAACTAAGGAGTGTGTCTGTGTGAGAGCGTGTGTGTATGTAATTTTCATTTTAAAAAGCAAGTGAGAAACTGAGAAAGTATCTGCAACATGTAAGGCAAAGGTTAATATGATAATGTATAAAGAACTTTTATAAGGGACTTATAGTAATTAAGAATTAAGTAATTAAGTAATTCAGATGATCCTCCTCTCAGGACAACAGATTACCTAGACAAAATATAAACATGATCAGCTTGAAGGCAATTAAGCAATAAAAAGATAGTGAAAAGTTACTGAGCCAAGATCCTGGAGAGGATAAAAGTCCAAACAGGGGAGATCAGTAGCTGGGGCTCCTTTTGATTAGGGAGGGTTTGTCTATTCAAAAGAGCAGCTAAAAGGCTGGGCGGTTCTGACAATCTAAAGGAGCTATAAAGGTACAAATGACAGAATCCAGGGCATGCCATGCATGGAGTCCGCATTAAAACCTGCATGTTTTCAGCTGAGAACCTAAAGGGCTTCATTCTAGGAATAAGGGAAAATTGCATAAAGATCAAGCTTCACATAAACTGCAACTCACTTTCAATGGCCCCAAAAATCTCACACTCTAAAACTCAATTAAGATGAATCTTAGATTGTCAGTTCTCCTAGAAGCCTGGCGAAGAAAACTGAAATCTTCTTTGAAGGAAGATATTGTCAACTTAGGCTTAAAACATTTCTATAATTTTTAAAATAAAATGTCCATCATATATTCAAAGATAACCAGGCATCTGAGAAAAGAATTCAACATGAAAGAACCAACATTATAAACAGATTTACAGGGGTCCAATATATTGGAATGAATACACAAAGACTTTAAAATAAATGTGCTTACTTAAGGACAAGAATACTGAAAATTTCAGAAAACTGGAAGTATAAAGAGACACAGCATATTTGAAAAGCCAAATATAAATTACAGAATTGAAAAAAATACCATAATAGAACTAAGATAGATTTAAATTTAGATTAGAACAACTGAAAAAGACAGTTGCTAGGTGCAGTGGCTCACAGAGGTTGCCACTCCCAGCTACTCAGGAGGTTGAGGCAGGAAGATTGCTTGAGGCCAGAAGTTCAAGACCAGGCTGAAGAATATAGCAAGACTTTGTCTCTAAAACAAAAACAAAAACAAAAAACAAATATAATCTGGGTGCAGTGGTGCATGCCTTCAGTTCCAGCTACCTGGGAGGCTGAGGCAAGAGGATTGCTTGAGCCCAGGTGGTTGAGGCTATAGTGAGCTTATATCAGCCTGGATGACTGAGCAAGACCCTGTCTCAGAAAAAAAAAAAAAAAAAAAAAAAAGGAAAGAAAAGGAGAGAGAGAGAGAGAGAAACGAAGAGAGAGAGAGAAAGAGAGAGAGAGAGAATAAGTCAGATGAAAACAACACAGAATAAAGTATTAGGAGACCAAAGGATACAATATCCAGAAAGTAACAAAACAAAGAAGGTGGAAAGATACACAATGAGGCAGAGGCAATATGTAAGGAGATAAAGTCTAAAAATTGTTAAAAATGAATGAAATGCATGAATCTACAGATTCAAGAGCACTCTAAACCACAAGCAAGACAAATATAGAGAAATCATACCTGTACACATCACTTTGAAACTATGAAAGTCAAAGACAAGGCCCAAAATCTTAAAAATAATTTTTAAAATTACTAGTAATTTTTAAAAGCCAGATTACCTTCAAAGAAGCAATAGAGTGACACCTCTACACCAACAATGTACTCAGGAAAATAAAATGCCAGGCTAGATTTTCTATGCTTCCAAACCCAGCAAGAATATTTTCCAACAATGAAAGTGAAATAGACCTTTTCTAATATATGACACTTGAAAGAATTTGCCACAACAAACTTGCACAAATGGAAAACTAAAAGAAACTCTTTAAAATTATGAGAATATTGTATTCTATTTTAACTTAGACAACCTGAATAACACATAAAATTTAACTTATATTATAAATAAAATTAGCCCAAGAAAGCAAAAACTTTAACAGGTCTCTGAGGAAGAAAATAAGAATACACTATTGAAGACCTACACAATACTCTTCTCCTTCCCTCAAAAACACTCAAAACTTTCAAGTAACGTATATTAAATTTTCCAGAATATTAAATATAATAACAGCTGCCTAATACAGTTAAGTCCAGATAGATAAAAAAAAAAAATAGTAAGTCTCCATGTGTGGCACAGCCATTCATGCAGTTGTCTAAACTAGAAACTATCCTGGACTCTTGCATCCAGTTACCACTTCCGCTCACTTTTTCTCAAATCATCACTGTTCACATATGTCCTCTGGTGAGCTCTGAAGACAGGGAAGCCAGGGTCTAGGTTCTGGCTCTGCCGCTTCAGCTATGTGACCTTGGGTAAGTTCTATTATTGAGCCTTCATTATCTGCAAAACACAGATAATGGCACCTCATGGGGTTGTGAGAATTATTTGAGATAATGCATGTAGACAGCTTGGCATTGTGCCCAGAACTTCAATTTTAGTTCATTATTATTGCTTCTGTTGATATTATTATTATTATTATTATTATTATTATTACATAATCAACACCATCGCTGGTTGCAATTGCAATACTAGGACAAAATGGCTACACCACTATTTCAGCATGTATATTTCTATCATACTACAGGGCCGGGATTAACACTGGTATTTTAGCTTCAGTGAAACTAAATGTTTAATACCCTTCTCATAAAAAAACTCATAAACATATATTTTATTTGATGTTTTAAAATAACTTTCTTTAAAAAGCTATTATTCTAATTATTAAAATACAAAATATTTAAAGTAGACTGAACACTATTAAAATAAAACAAACATAAAAAAACAAAATCATTTTATAAGTATGTACTTAAGAACTGACAACATAACAACACTGGGTCACAAGTGTATTTCTGTACTAAAAGTTTCAGCTCTTAACATGCTCTGACTCTACCTTAAGAAAATGAGATCAAATGTTATTTCTGTATCTTCAAATAATGCGCTTCTTGCTTGATATTTACGAAGATGTTTTTTACTTTGAGGTTTTTCTTGGAGGAATTGTAGTTGTACATCAAGCTGTATTTTTGTTTCAAAGAAAACATTTCCAGAGGCACTTATCTTTGCTAGTTTCCTCATGTAGAGGAATTCAAATGCAGAATTACCTGTTATCAGTATGACAGCAATGTTCCTAGTCTACTTGTCTGGAAAGCCTTGGTGTCATTTGTACAACAGAAGTTTGGTTTGCTGACTGACATTTCTCCTCCTCTTAGGGACAATGTGGGACTGGAAGAATTTTTTCACATCAGTACATTTTTCTGTTACTGAGTTCTAATTTCATTCCATGGCAGTTGGAGCAAACTATATTATTTCAATTCTTTTTGATTTAATGATCAACTGTTTTATGGCCTAGGTGATGGTCTATCCTGAAGAATATTCCATGTATACTGGAGAATAATGTGTATTCTGTTGTTCTTGGGTGGAGTATTTAGGTCTACTTGGCTTACAGTGTTGGTAGTCAAGCCTTCTATTTCCTTGCTGACCTTCTGTCTAGAAGATTCCATCCATTGTTAACAGTGGGGTAATGAAGTCTCCAACTGTTATTGTTGAATTGTCTATTTCTCCCTTCATTTTTATCAGTTTTTGCTTCATGTATTTTAAGGCTCTATTATCAGGTGGATACATGTTTATAACTGCTATACCTTCCTGATGGATTGACACTTTCATCATTAGAAAATGTCCCTCTTTACCTCTAGTAACATTTTTTATTTTGAAGTCCCTTTTGATATTAACATAGCCACTCCAGCTTTCTTATGCTTGTTATTTGCATGATACATCTTTTCCTATCCTTTCACTTTCAATATATTTGTGTCTTGGATCTAAAGTGAGTGCCAGTGCAGACAGTGTATAGTCAGATCTTGTTTCTTTAATCTGGTCTGACAATCTATGCCTTTTGATTAGACTGTTTAATCCATTCATATTATTGATATTATTGACACAGCTGAATTTGTGCCTGCAATTTAACTTTTTGTTTTCTGTATGTCTTGTGTCTTTTTTTGTTCCTCTACTTCTCCTTTAATGTTTTCTTTTACATTAAGTGAATATTTTCAAATGTAATATTTAATTTCTTTAATAATTTTTTCATTTATAGAGATTTTTGATTATTTCCTTTGTAGTAGCTCTAGGACTTACCTCACATCTTCAGAGTCTCTTTAGATTTATATTAACTTAATTCCAGTGAGGTTTATATTAACTTAATTCCAGTGAGATGTGGCAACATTATGCCTATATAGCTCTATTTTCCTTTTTCCTCCTTTTGTTATATACATATTGTATTTATACATGTTATATACATATTGTATTTATAAATGTTACAGTTCAAAAATACACTGTTATCATTACTTAACTATGTCTTTTAAACACTCCACTAAGAGAAGAAAACCAAGTATATACTTAGAGTATTTGTTATACTAACCTTCTTATTTGCCTTTTCAATAAGCACTTTGCCTGACTCCTGACAAGTACTTCACAGAAAGTGGTAAGAACAATTTTGTAACTCAACACAGGTCCTCTTTGGCTATGATATAGCTGGGTTAGCACAAAAGGTAATAGAAAAGTGACAACTGATGTGAAGTGTCATGAAATAAATACATTTTCTATTTTTATAACTTGCTCTAATGTTGTACAGTATGGTTTGTACAAAAGTAGCAGAAAGCTGAAAGACAAAAATCTAAATGTTGCTAACAAGATAACTGACACTGATGAGAAAACCAAACACATACTATCTCTCATCCAAAATGCTTGGGACCAGAAATGTTTTGGATTTCTGATGTTTTTTTCAGCTTTTGGAATATTTGCATTATACTTGCCGGCTGAGCATCCCTATTCTGAAAATCTGAAATCCGAAATGCTCCAATGAGCATTTCTTTTGAGCATCATATTAGTGCTCAAAAAGTTTCCAATTTTGAAGCACTTTAGATTTCAGATTTTCAGATTAGGGATACTCACCCTGTATTCTGCTGTTATTTTTACAGGTTTAAGAAAATCACTTAGCAGAAGGTTGATTCAGCCTTCAACTAAAACACTAGGTTTACAGAATAATAGTTACATTTCTCTGCCCTGAGTCTTTCAAATTTATATCCTCTTGCTCCACTTTCATGAGAAAGATTCCAAAGACTTCAGTGATTTTTCTAAGAAAGTTCTAGGATCTCTAAACTTAGGATTAGCGTCCAGTCAGTGTTATGTCTGTCTCTTACTGTATACAGTAGCTGAATCCACAAGAATATAGTATGATAATGATTTTTCCAAGCAATGTGTGCTGTGGACCACTCCACTACTAAACAAATATTCAGGAATTCTGCAAGCCGCAACCATTCGGTAGGTTGAAATCATCCATGGTGGGGAGTATTTTTACCACTTTGAAAAATGCTATAAATTGTTAACTCCCTCCCCAACCAACCCCTCTAAGCCTGCCCCAGCTAGCAGATAGTTTACTAGCACTCCAACTGACCCTACATCAGCAAGAAAAGGTTAAATCCAGGGCAATACTGTCTATTACCAGAACAGGGAAATGTGAACTCCCCTTGATTAACATTTCTACCACCAGGACGTTTGAGTTGTAGTGTTAACACCAGAAATCTGGAATCCTCAGTTCTTCACACTATCACAACCTCCCACCAGGTTTACAAAGATGTTATGATATCACAAAATAACTACACTGAGAGTAGTCTGAGTCTTCCTGATTCAATGAAGTCATAAGAAAGGATTCATTTGGAGCTGTTAAAGAAGGAACCTTTTATTTTTGTGACGACATACACAAACTATTTGTATACATCACTGCATTAGATAATTTAATATGACAAAAGAAACAACTTACTTCAGAAAAGCAATCTAGATTACATATCTAACCACACTTAAGAAATCAAAGCAATAATAACGCACTGTTTACAAATCCTGCCTGTTAAGTAAAGGAATCCATCCTTTCTGACACCTCTACCATCCATCATCGATTCAATAAACATTTGTCAAATGCCTACTACATGCACTAAGAACTGTAGTAAGTGCTGTGCTATGACTGTGGGCAAAACTGTATAGGGGAAGATGTGAGGAGACCCCAGGCAGAGGTGAGAGGGTGAGGGTGTGGAGAAGTGAGTTGCATCTATGTTACCACGTTTTTTCTTCACATATAAGGGTCATGTTAAACAGTTACTAAATGGCTAACTACATGATGTGGGGTGGGCCTGCTGAAATAAACACACTCCTCCAGGCCAAAAACTCAGTGAGGCCGGGCGCGGTGGCTCACGCCTGTAATCCCAGCACTTTGGGAGGCCGAGGCGGGCGGATCACGAGGTCAGGAGATCGAGACCATCCCGGCTAAAACGGTGAAACCCCGTCTCTACTAAAACTACAAAAAATAGCCGGGCGTAGTGGCGGGCGCCTGTAGTCCTAGCTACTTGGGAGGCTGAGGCAGGAGAATGGCGTGAACCCGCAGTGAGCCGAGATCCCGCCACTGCACTCCAGCCTGGGCGACAGAGCGAGACTCCGTCTCAAAAAAAAAAAAAAAACTCAGTGACATTTCCCTCTGGCTCCTGCTCCTTCACAGTGGGCTGGACTCCCAAAGCGTCTGCTCCTCGGGCTCCTGCAGTCCACCTCCCACCGCAGATCAGGCCATGCATGAATGTTACTACATACATTTGTTTTCATTGCAATGCTTTTAAGTCCTCTTCTTGCCCTTCCCACTCATCCACAGAATCTTATTTGCTACTTCCAACGCTTTTCTTAAATAAAATAATTTTATACCCCATTGCTTGGTGGTCAGGGAAAAATTCTAAGCTACATCCTTCAAAGTTTGATAAATTTCCTGCATATAGCATAGCTCCACAAAATACCCTTTGCACAGTGAAGCAATAAAAGAACACCATATTGTTGGTTAAATACTTTGTTATCTCCATGCTTTGCTTTTTAATTTTTTAAATTCATTTTATAGACTTCCTCCCAGTTCTTTATCTGTCTTCAATTTATCTGCCTCCTCTCACTTTTATTTTCTACTATTTCTGCCCTCAAATTATATTCTTCAGGTTTATGCAACATGTCTGCTCTCTTCTCTGAGGAAACATGAGAAAAAGAGCAAATCTCTACGTAGGCAAAATATATACAAGCTTATCTCTTTCTTTCTTTTTGGTCTCATACAGAGAATACAGTAGCAAACCTGGGGAAAAGCCTAAATAGATGAACAGCAACACATATTATCCTTATAAGTCACTCTGTGGCATTATTTATATAGAAAATACTCAGATATATGGCATGAAGTCAATTACCTAAGAAGCAAAGTGAAACAAACAAAACCTGGGTTTTTCTCCCCATACCACTCTTCCGTGAATCCCCAAATGAGCCTCTAGGATAAGATTCATTTCTTTGTTTTTCACAGTCCTCAGGGATTCTGTCAAAGCAGCTCAAATCCATATGCCATTACCTTAAATACTTTATCTTTCTTGTCAAAAAATGTACCAGTGGACATAAATATGTATTTAATATAATGTAAGACAAATTTTAAAAAACATTTTAATCCCTCTAAAATCAGGATGCATCTTCTAATCAATTATAAGAGCACTGTGTCATAACTTAATTGGCAGTGACTTTTCTCCTTGCTAAAGGATGCATAAAATCATTGTGCATCTTGCAATCAATAGCATTTTGAAGTCAATGAAATATGCTATAAGTATGCACAAGAATGTGAGTCTTTCTATGAATCATCCTATAAAATTAAAATCAGGTTAGCTACTTAAGTCTCTAATGAATGGCTCAATAGACCATGATAAGTAACACTGTTAGGAAATACTGAGAATTTTTGCTTTCATATTTCAAAAGGAGCAATGTTTTAGGATTCTGAACTTAAACACAGTGAGGACAGATATTTGAAGACATTTATTTTACATTAATGTACTACAAAATGCTTTGTTTATATCATTATGCAAATCATCTTTCATAAAGCTGGCAGTCTATCTGAAAGGCAATGATCTCTTGGGATTTGGGATTTTCAAATTTCTCAAAATATTGACATGGTTAACACATGATACCTTTAACTTATATAAATGACACAAATAATTAAAATACTAATTTCCCAGTAATTCAAGCTCACAGCATTCACTGTCTATTACACTAAGAGAATACTTCGTAAGATGTGAATATTTAAATTTGAAATTTTAATAGTAAAAAAAGGAGATGACTTTCTTTTCTAAAAAATAAAAAATCTGTTACTGTTTTCCCAAGGGAAATTTGTTAGGCACTGCTGCCAGTCTACCTCATGAATTTTTGCTCTACCAATTCAGGATTTATGATGATTTGGGTAAGAGCTGGGTTAAAGCTTGCGGGCTCCTTTAAGGTTTAGACTTTTTCTTTCCTATCTATTTCTCAGGGCAAAAAAAAAAAAAAATGGCTGGTGCACAACAACAATTTACTAAATAAATTAATGAGAGGTACAAGGAAAAAACATAATTTTTAGGGCATTTAACATTAAGAGACTAAGATGTACAAATACTGTTTTTTAAAATAAACCTCTATTAAACAGATTCACTAAAATATATTATTTCCTAATAAGAAACCCAAGGACCACACTGGTTAAAAAATAAACTAGTTAACATCAATATAATATTAAAATAATAAAACTGCATTCCATTTAAAATACAGAATTCCATTCAGACATCTCACAAAAATACTATACTAGCCTTTCCTCTAGCCATATCCACATGAGCTTTCATTTTGTAAATTGTCAATACCCTTCTAAGGTAAGCCTATCAAGTTTTGTTTTATTGTACAAATGTTCTCCCAGTTTTAAAACATTTTCACCTTCTCTCTTATGGTATTGACATTCTTCATTTTAATTTAATAAAATCTGTCCATCTTTTCTACTATACTACCTAAATTTCAGTATTACATGGGAAGGACTTTGTCATCCCTAATTACAAGAATATGTCCTTGTATTTTCTTAATTATACTCAGCAGAATTTTTAAGGAAGAGTGTCATTGGCAATAAAGCATGGCCTTATTAACATAAAATATTTATTCGAAATTAGCCTTCGTTTTAAAAAATGTTATGTGTGGTAATTAAATTTTTTTTTAAATGAGAGTCACCATTTTTCACCCCTTGGAAACTCATTCACATTATCTTCAAAAATATTATTATATTTTTTTAATAATATCATTGTAAAATGAATAAAAATATTCATTTTTTAATGTAGAAAAGTAGGCGAGAAACTAGCATTTTTACTGACACACCAATTAGAGTTCATGATCCAATGGAGCCACTCTCACTTCTGACTTAGTCTCATTTTCCACAGGAACCTAACTTCCCTCAAGCTTCCCCAGACAAGAGAAGCATATTTCAGGGCATAAATCATGCCTATGTTAACAAAAATCCCACTTATCAACTGACTTTTCAGAGCAAATATGAATATCATTCAGTATTACTAGAACAGTTTTCCTTACTATATTTCTTAACTCATATAAACTACCTATGTATATTTAGGCCCTCTTACTCTTATATAGATGGTGATATTCACAGAAATTATTTAAAAAATAAAAATGTTCTGGGGCTGAAGTATATAATGTAAGAGTGATACCACTACTGCTGAAAAGAAATTACTGGTAATGATAGTGGCAATTGTAGGTTCTTATTGTGAGACAGAAAATAATGTTAAAAAAAAATCATAATGCAAGCTGACCTAAAGTCTCTACCTTTCTCTATGGCCATTGTCTGAATCCTAACTCTTTTATCCTGGATCATCGTAACATTTCTGTAGGTGACTGCTATCATAATCTCATCATTCAAAAAGGTAAGTTAGAACAGAAATAAAACTGTACCAGAAATTCAACTATCACTATAACACAGATCTTATCTAGTTATACCAGGGAATAATATCAGAATAGCACAGTCCAAGACATGGGCTTGATTTTCCTCATGTACTTTCTTGGTTGCACTCCCTTGGGTTAAGTTATTTAACATTATTCAACTTCAGCTTTTTCATCATGGCAAAATGATTAATTTACTTATAAAATGCTCAATTTCTAACATAAAATCTATGAGTACTTTTATACTACATTCTCAGAAAATTTTGATTACATGGTATTCAGAAACAGAGAAGAAATAATTTTGGATATCCTAAATGGTTTTAAAAAACAATTAACAATACAATGCAATTAAGTGAGAAATTACTAAAAATAAATAAGATCCCCATCCATGTGGAGAAAAAAAAATTCCAACATGATTTGGGGTGGGGGGAGGGTCAGAGAAGAAACCAGCATAGAAAAGAATGAAACTAATAAATATAAAATTGTGTATGATACATCTAAGCAATACTTACAAGGAAATTAACAGCTTTAAGTGATTCCAATAGAGCAGAATAAAGGCTTAAAAATGAATGAGCATTCCAAGTTAAGAAATTTGAGTAACAGAACAAACCTGAAGAAAAAGACAGGAAAAGATAATAAAGAACAAAATTTAATGAAACTAAAAAGGATGAGGCAAGAAAGTATCATGAAAATCAGATGTTGGCAAAATAAAAAGAAAGTAAAACAGAAAACTGGCAACACTAATCAAGAAAGCGAGGAGAGGCACAAATCAATGATAGAAGCAATAAAAAACAGACATAACTACACACCCAGCAGAAATGAAAGAGAGTAAGAAAATACTACGACTGATTTTTTGCCAACAGATGTGACTGTTTAGATAAGATGGATAAATTATAAGAAAAATACAACTTCCTAAAACTGAAGAGAAAATAGAATGTTTGGATAATCCCTTATTGTTAAGTACACTTGGGAGTTAAAAGTCTACCCTGCAGTCCCTCCCAAAAGTCAAAATATGTTGTAAGACTTGCCTACAAAGGTACAGTTCCAATATCAAACAAACAGCTCCATGGGAATCAGAAGCATATAGTCCTCAGATCATCCTATCAAACTAGCATAACCTTAAAACAAAATCAGGCACAGAAAATTATAAAACATAATAAAAATATAAACCAATGCCTTGAACATGGATTCAAAATTCTTCAATAAAATATTAACAAATCAAATCTAGCAGTGATTAAGATTAAACATCATGACCAAATTGGTTTAAAGATACGTAAGTCACTTTTAAACATCAGAATGAAAGAATAAAGGACATAGTAAGATCATCTTTACATAGAAACAAAAGGTGATAAAAATAAAAATCCATTTATGATTTTTAAAAATAATTTCAACAAATAAAAAATAGAAGATAACACCTTTAAGCAACTAAAAAATATACAGACTCTCTTCCCACAAAAAAAGATAGCAAACATTTTAATGGTGAAAAATTAGAAGCATTTTCTTTAAAATCAGGAGCAAGTCTAAGATACCAATTTTACTGGAGCCAACTGAGCAAGATAAGAAAAATAAATAAAAGAAACAATTATTTCAAAATGAAGAAACAAACTTTCATTATTCCCAGCTGATATGACAAGAAAATCTGAAAACACCAGCAGACAATTTTCATAATGAATGAGAATCCAGCCAAGTAGCTGGATATAAAAATAAATATTCAAAAATATATTGCATTTTTATTTGCCAGGAACTAGAAAACAATTTTACAAAAGAAAAAATCATTAAAATGAGGAAAACACCAAATTCTAAGAAATAGAGCAGAAAAAAATAAAGATTCATATGGAGGAAAATGATAAGACACTAAAGAAAACACAAGTATCAGAAATATACAATCTTTTTTGAATAGAAGGCCTGAAAACTGTGAAGATGGTCAGTTTGCCCCAGATTCAATCAAACCCAAACAAAATTCCAACAAGTTTTTTAAAGACCTGATTCTAAAATTCAAATAGATGAGCAAAGGACTAGAAATAGTGAAAACATTCCTGAAGGCAAATAACACAAGGAATCTGCCCTACTGTATATAGTATATACTAGTTATTGCACACTGTATATATCAAGACAATAAAGTGGTAAGTAATTAACATACTGTGATATTAAAATATGGGTAAACAAATTCACAGAACAGAATAGAGAGCTAAGAAGCAAACCCACACAAAAATGAAAAATTAATACGAAACAGTAAAAGGAAAACATACTAAATGTTTCAGGGACATTTAACAATATTAGCAATGGTTACCCACTTGAGAAAAAAAAGAAACTTGAATCCTAACTTACACTACATTAAAAAACTAGGTATATTTTTTTAAAAAAACAAACTCCAGATGGGTTTTTAATCTGAAACGTGAAAGTCTTTTAGAAGAAAATATAGAAAATATATATATATACTTAAGACCTTGTGATAGAGAAGAATTTAAGACAAATAAAAATACAAAAAAATGAATCACAAAATCAAGAAATTAATAGGTTGACAGTATTAAAATCAAGAGCTTCTATTCACTTTAGTGAATAGAAGGCACTTTAAATGAAGTAAAAAATAAATCTGAAAAATAAAGCACATAAAATGAATAGTTATTCAAAATATATTAAGAAAAAGATAACTCAATTTTTACAAAATGGACAAATAATAATAGCAAGCATTTCAGTAAGGGGGAATACAAATGAAGACATGTTTGACATTATTAAATTAAATAAGCAGGAGGCCATTTGCCTGAGGCTGTCTCCTTACCTCGAGTTATGACCTAACAAACTACAACCTCATTTAGTGCGCAAACACAAACCTAATTTAGAGTATTTTTTGTAAAAAATAGCTACTTTTCAGCCAATCACAGGAAGTCAACTGATCAGATCATGCCCAAATAAGGCAAATACTTCATCACACCCTACCTGAACAAGGCAGGTGGCTAGTTGCAGCCAATCAGGTGATTTCTCACTTTGCTTGCGAGTTCAGCCTGTACGAGCTTGCTGCTCACACTGCTCGGCAGAGCTCTCTGAACCTCTTCTGGTTCTGAATGATGCCTGATTCATGAATCATTCTTTGTTTAAATAAAATCAGTTAAACTTTTTGTGTCTAAAGTTTTTCTTTTAACATTAGTAACCAGGGAAACAAAAATCAAAGCAGAATAAAAGAGGATTTAACATCTATCCAATTAGGAAAAAAAAGACTAAACATACCATGTACTTGATAGTACAAAATGAATTCTTGGACACTGATAGTGGGAATGCAAAAAGTTTCCCCAAAAAAAACTCTGGAAAACAATATAGCATCATTTTGTAGAGCTGAACATTCACATTCCCTATATATGCTCTAGAAACTCACACATAGGCACTAGGATATAAAAATATTCATACCTGCATTGTTTATGATAGCAAAAAGGTGGAAATAACTTAAATATCAACAGAAGAATGGGCCAACAATTTCATACAGTGCAATATTACAACAATGAAAAGTAACAGCTATGTGCAACGGCATGGGTGAATCTTAGGAACAACGTTAAGTGAAAAAAGCTGCAGAAGACTACGTACAATATGGTTTCATTTAAAAGTTCAAACTCAGGCACAACTAGAAAATATATTGTTTGGGGGTACATACTTATATGACATAATTGTTTTTTAAAAGGACTGAAATGATGAACACAAAACTAAGGACAGTAAAACCTCTACAGAAGAGACAATGGGATGAATTGCCGATCAGCATGTGGGTGGATACAATGGTACTGGCAACATTCCCGTTCTTAAATTGGGTGTGAGAATCAAAGATTACCATGTCATTCTTATGCTTTGTAATTTAATATGCTACATATATTAATTTATATGTGTCAAACATTGTATGATAAAAATTTAAGAGTATTAAAATTAAAGCTTGAGAAAGCCATAAAAGCTCTCCTAATCGATCTATTTATTTCTTCCCAGTTAATTTTATTCATATTCCATTACCACATCTGTGACAGTCACTATTTCATTTAAATCCCACTCAACAATTTTAAAAATAGTGTCAAGCACAATGTGTGTTAAGAATCAGGAGATAGCACTGTAAGGAAAAACATAATGACTTTATGGAGACTTGTGTGAATGTTGCATCCTTATCTCTATCCCTAAATTGATTAAAATCAAAATAAATCAAATTAAAGTCATCTGATTTTCATTCAAAAGAGAAAAAGAATAAAATAAGTACATTAACATAATTTAGTGCATTTCTTTATTCTATTGGTGTATGATAGGCAAAGTCAGTTTCTTTACTTCCATATTACACTAAACAGATTTAATCCTCCTTAAATTATTAAAATACAAGAGGAAATGTCTTTTTTAATCTATTAATGAGGAAGTTGCTTTTAAGAGCCTACTACTATGCTAGATACTTCTGAAAATAAATTAGTTACTTGTCCTAATAATTACAAAAAAGAGAGAAAGGGAGAAAGAGCCTCAAATAAGTTAAAGACCACAGAACCTTTAATGGAGACAAAGCCTTAGAACTACAAGCAGTGTTTAAAAATAATTTTTTTAAAAAGCAATGTGGCTAAACTTACAGGGTGAAAAAACCCAAAGTACGTCAGAAAAACAATGAAAAAGAGATCTATTGTAGATGACTTACCATAATCTAAAATGAACGTCTATATTTTTAAAGTATATTCTTTGATGGAAGAAATGAATATCCTTTAAAATAAAATAGGTATCAGCAAGAAAAGGTTTGAAAAATCTCAACACCACTGTTACTCAGACTTTTCATGTTGTTAAAGAGAAACTGATATTATTTCTTACTTATATTTGAAAGGGAAAACTATTTTATTTTTAATTTCTGTATAAAAATGAAAGCCAAGCAGTAATTCTATGCAGTGAACTGCACAGAACAATGCTCACTTGGTATTCATCCTAGCTCTTAAATAAGTGTAGCCTGCCAACTGTAGCCCAATCCATTATTCTGAACCTCATTATCCAATTTCTCTTTCTAGAACCTTTGTTTCATTTCCTCCTTCCTATCAGGCATTTAGTTCACTGTTCTGAAAACTCTTGCCAAAGAAGTAACAAGGAAAAGGAAGACAGGCTCACATTTGCTTTGCTACTAGAAGCAGCTCTAAACCATGACTAGATGTAAAAAAAAAAAAAAAAAAAAAAAAGGCTGGCTATAGAGAAAGAAAACTTTAAAAGTATGGCCTCTTATAACCTGAGTGTCTCAAATGCCTCATGCGTTTAAGTCAGTCAACCCTTCAAAGGGACAAGGTGGCCATGGAGACATCTTTACTCTTCTATGCTTGTTTTTCTGTAAGAATGTCATTAGAGGGTCAGATATACATGGCCCTTCCAGAGCTCCCATGGAAGGAGCGTGGGGTGAGGAGAAGGCAGACATGAGGGGTGCTACATAGTACCCCATAAATGTAAGACCAACCCCAAACCATCCTGAAGGCTTCACAGGCTGGTTTAAGGGATGGAGAACTGGGATGGCAGGAAATTATTTCCCCTACAGATACCTGCTCAGTAGTCTAACTAGATTTAAAAGCTATTTTTTGTAAAACGGCTTTCAACTGGAATCCTATTTAGCTAAATTACTCTGTCAAAATAGTCTGCTGTAATTTGAAGATACAAGGCAAAATAAATAATAAATCACGGAATACAAATGTCATAAAGAGAACTTTATTTGCCCACAATATTAAAAGCACATAATCAATTTTGCTCATTAACAGATAGTGTTTCAACAGTATTTACCTCACTACCTGACCATCCCTACATGCTCTTCTGCATCACATCTATTTTTTTATATTACTTGGAAAGATAATCTATGTTTTCTATGGTGAAAACCAATTTTTTCCTTTCAAGTTTTTAATTTTAATACAAAATTACACCCATTGCAGCTGGTGAAATAATACAAAGGCATATAAATGAGTGGGTCATCTTCCCTTGCTCCTCTTCCCACTATTAACACATATCTGTGTATAAATCCTTTCCAACATTGTCCAATCTCACAGAAGCCTCTGTGTGTGTATGCGTATATATATATACATATAAATACTTGTATACACACTTGACTTTGTTAGTTTTCACAAAAAAATAAGATATTTTACATACTACATTGCAATGTTATTTTTCTTATTTGATAAGTTATCACCATCAACTAAAGTAATTAACACTTTTTCAAAGCTGCGTGATACCCCAAAATATGAGTATACTACAAATGATTCAACTGTTCTTCCACTGACTGGTATTCAGGCTGTTTTAGTTGCCTTAGGTTTTTGTCGCTACAAAAAAAAAAAGAAAACTGCATCACATGAATGCACACATGAACACACATGCATGGACACGGCCAACTGTGTTCCTTATATTGGTACTTTTATTGCTACAGGACAGTCTCACAAACAGGACTTTCAAAAGAGCTGCAATAACCTTTCACACTTCTACCAGTCATACATTAATATGTGGGAAACAGTTATAGAATGTGCTATGTGGCTAAAATGTTTCATGAAGCAAAGTCCACAACATTTTAAGTATCAATAAGTTCAAGGGGATTTCTAATTTTGTGATATGTCTATACTGATTTATTTCATAAGGCTACATTTATGAGGTATATGTATAGGCATCATTGCAAGAATAAAGTTTACATTCAAGCTGATTTTAATTTACCTTTTTTTGAAACTTCTGCCCCATTAAGTTCTTTTTGTGCTTCTTCAATTTTGTCTAAGAAAAACAGAGAAAAATTTATAAATTAATTTACCTTAAACAAATAAGAGTACAGTAAAGCAAACATACTACTTTTAAACAGTGTCAGATACCTAGTAAAAAATGTGTTGAATAAATTATGATACAGATGTGTATAAACTGTTGAAGGATATATTCCCTTTTAAATTCATAATTTTAATCATTTCTTAGTCACAAGGACTATTTCCAATTAATAAATGTTTCCATAATGCAAATAATTAGTACACTTTAGATACTGAACTACAGCTTTAAAAGTCTAGTCATCTAATCAAAGTATCTAAAAATAATACTATCTTTACATACAAAGTACCTAATAGGGATTTTAGAGATATAACAAATGCTTACTAGCTTAGAAACAACCAGATTAAGCAAAGCTAAGACTTAAGACAGAAGACAGAAAAGGATGGAAAAACAGAGACGAGGATGAGCTGAAATATGGCATGGCAGAAAGTGTCTATATCCCTTGCTGGCAGCATAGAGCTGACAGCATCTATGAAGTATGAGGACAGAGTACTGCATTCAAGAGGTACTATACACAACTCACTGCAGAACTGCTACACATGTGCACAGTTTTGTCAGACAGATGTAACCCAGGAGCAATAACTAAGAGAATTGGGAGCAGTGCCTTGCTCCTGCTGTTCTTTGACCTGGGGCTCTGGGCACAACTGGATTTTGTAAATATGTGCATGCTCTATTTCAATAATAATTAATTTAAACTTTATAAGGATATACATACTTCATGACATGGGCAGTAATCGATTCCAAATTTAACACACTGGTCTAGGTACTTATTAAAATGGCAAAAGGAACAAATTCCCAGGGTACTATTTTGTACTGAACTGAAGACAATATTGATAATTATATAACATTCTACATATCCCAAATGTGTAAGTACAATTTAAATAAACGCATCAGCTCAGAAGTTGTCTCCAATGCTGACCCTACCGCTGCTCACTGGCCATGGAAGATGTAACCTCCAATATGGTATCCTACTCCAAATAAATAAAAGGCAGACACCGCACACCATGGGCCCTTCAAACTCTGATCTACCTGCCTCTCTCCCTATCTTGCCAGAAAGGCCAAGAAATTCAGAGAACCTTCTATTTACAGATCAAACGTCTTTCAATTGCATATTGATCCAACTTGCCAAGGCAAAGTGGGAGAACAGAACAAAGGAAGCAAGCTAGTTTGAAATATAGGACATTACATCTCAACAATAGTCAAAAATAACTAAATTTTCATCCTGATAAATGTATCGCCCACAGCAATGTCTTATTTGCTTCCTGCGAATTATCAGATCCAGAATATAATTTGAGAGTAGTACAGGCAATCTTTGGAATAAGACAATTTTTCTTATTTATAAACTTTAGTTACTGCTCATGAAACGATGAGTGAAGTTGAAATAGTCCTGGAAAAAAACACACATTAAATGCAGAAACTGGATCCTGTGCTCAGTGGTAGTTTTGCTTCAGACAGAAAAATATGGAATGCTTGCATGAAATCCGTATTAACACAGTGTAAGTAACAAAAGGCTAAGACCCACTTTTAAAAAACGAAATACATGAATTACCTGCAGATTTTCAAACTATAAATAATAAACAAATCACATAACATATAGTACTTGAAAAACATGTAAAAGGACTTTTATTACCAAAGCACTATTATTTCTATGCCAGTAATTCACCCAAACTTAAGAATCATAAATAATATATATGTATTATATATTCACAGTAGTAACAACTGTGCTTAATAGTTTATGTGCACATAATTTTGCATTATATAATCAAAACAACTTTTCTTAATAGAATCAGTTGTGGCTTAAAGCAACAAGAACTCATGATTAACAAATACTTACAGAATAGCTGTTGTTAAGTAATTGAAGTTTGGCCACTTTCTGTTTGCACTTCAACATAACAAAACTCTTACAAAAATAACTTGTTTATATCTGCTTACAAAATACTAGTCTCTGCTTTTAAAATTTTCAACTAAGTTACCTTTTTATCTTGATAATAACAGTATATAAATTTAGACTACTGATTTAGGACAGCTACTACAATAAATATAATAAGTACCTCCTCAAATGCTTCTACCTATAGCTCCACGTCAATAGGTAAACAATCTCCAATTAGCTTGTAACAGCCATTATAAAAGCTTTTGCTTTGGGCAAGTTTTATTACAATTCCTGTTTATATTTAGTGTGTTTTTATAATTCTCCTGGTAAATATGATGTGTTTTAAAGACACTCTCCAAAATTACAAAGAAAGTAGTCATTTACTACACGCTCTTAACTGATTCATACAAGACAGTTTACTGATATGTAAAGCGTTATTTATATTTTTTCACCGTGACAGAGAAAAAATATAGTTTTACATTTCAACTAATATCCCACGTGCATACATATTATGCATACATGTAATTCCCTATTAAAAATGAAAAATCCTGCCCCTTTCTCAACTACATTAATTTCAGGGCTGCCTGCTAGACTCTAAAGCTACAGCTTTAAGTTCATCAATATAAGAGGCAGTTTCCAACACATCCTTTTTGCCAAACCTTTACCAAGGGTAACACTCCCCAGCAATCACATCTCTCACCGTAAGTCTTGATTTAGGGGAGGGGGAGCAAAGGGAAAAAAATGGCATGTTAGACTCTAAGACATCCCCCATCATGCCCTCCCACCACCACTGGGATCTGGGTTAACAATTTCCCAAAGAACTATACATTCAGAAATAAATAATAGTTTCTCTGTTGCTGTTACCTAAAAATAAAAATAGTTATACAAACAAAAAGAATACTCATACCACGTCAGTAAATCTGAAGCCCATAATATGCATTCTTACTATAATGAGTTCTTACTGTATTTAAATTAACATGTAATCTTAATTCATTCAATTTTTACATTAAATACACTTGGAGGAGCCATCACTTGGAAGAAAGATCCCAGCAAACACGTGAATGGATCTGTAATCTTTAAGATCCAGAAAGGCCAGTGGCTAAAACAGCAATAGGCTAGAAGAGAAGTAACTAATAGTATAGACTAAATTTTTGTCCTACAACTATTAAAAATGTATACTATTAAAAATGTATACACAGAAACTGTTAATGATAAAGGCTATAAGAACTATCTTGTGTGATACCTTAAATTAAAAATTTTGTGTAAGAAAATGATGCAAAAATATCTCATTTTCAACACTCACAAATAATCATAAAAGAAGTCTCTTTATTAGTGAAACATAATCTGAAACCACTGAACAAAAGGAAAAAGTCCTAGAGCCGTTAAGAAATAATAATCTTTCTTTTAGGGTTTCTGGAAGAAGACTGAATTAAAAACAAATCATTTATAGAAATTACATAATCTTCAAATAAGGATTTACAGTAGCCCCTTGCTCTCTGACCATTCTTCAGTCTATGCTAAAGTGCGTGTGGGGAGGGTCTCCCTCACCATCTCAGAGGCCTGCCTCTCATTCCCCAAGAGCCTTGGGCTCTAATGCATCACAGGTTGGAGGAGCAGCCCACTAAGTTGTTAGGATTTGGTTCAATGAATGCTGTGTTTTTACTGCAATTGCATGCCTGCTCTGTGTCAGGTCTAATGTGAACAGTTACAGGGAAAAAGGTATTAGGCCCTCCCAGAGGGGCTCCTACTTTAGTGTATCCTTACAAATCATTTTAATATCAATTTGATGATAAATAAGGCTCAAACTCCCCTGTGTGGTTAACGAGGTTCTTTGTAATCTAGTTACCTCTTTGCCCTTTGCCACTTCTGTTCTCTCTTCAAGATCAGGCACAGTGAAGTCCAGGCTCAACCAGACCCTAGGACTTAACCCCTGCTTTGTCCTCTTCCCTGAAGGTGCCTCCCACACTGTCCCTTCTCTGTGGGGCGTCCTTTCAAGATGGGGCTTCTCTGGGCAAACTTCCCTAACACCCTTGTCCAGAGCCCATCACTCTCTCTGTACCACCAGTAAACGTTGTGCACAGAACCCTGTTTCTCTAGAGCTGCATAGCTCATAATCGTTAGTAATAATGGCAATTAGATGGAGCTGAGTGGTTTACTGATCATATAAACACTGACAAGACAATAACCTGTGACACAGAACCTGCATTCTGAAGAGAAAAAGAGAAAAAAGCACCTACACACAAACTGAAAACTGGCACTGCGTGGTTTCACTTAAGAATCTAGCATTTTATCATCTTTAACATTATAAATTATGTCAACATTTGGGAAGCTGTATCAGTACCCCGAAAGCACTCGAGTCAACTATTGCTCCCTTAGATCTATAAGAGATTTAAGTCATGTCTCACCTACTTCTATCAGCTCATCCTTCTCTCATGCTGTTCTGCTGGGTACCATATAGCCTCTGCGCTAGCACCCGTACGTCCTCCCTCTTCGTTTAGCCTTCAAAACTCACATTGGTAACATTTTATGAAGTAAATCCTAATGAACTGTAAAAGGCACCTCTGTTTACTGACAGAGGTACCATCTGATTGAAAAAAGATCACCATATGTAACTGTACTATTTTTACTACTGAATAAAAACATAATTCCTACTTCCTCTCATTATATGCCAGTGCAAGCACCTTACTCTTACTGTGAACTGTAAGTGTTATTTCAATAGCACTAAATAAATGACAATGGCATAAAATTAAAATTGTATCCAGCACACACAGCCATTTATACATGCTCTTGTAAGTGAAGATTATTCCTAGTCTTCACTACTAAGTAAACTGAGTAAACCCACCTTTACAATCAACCCATTTTAACCTCCGAGTTTCACATCTCAAATACCGCTGGACTTACCTGTCTTTGAGGAAGATGACACGCTGTTATAATGCTGAAAATGATAGTCTAGACTAGCAATATTTCAAACAAAAACACTGCCTGCAGTAAGTGAAAAAGAAATCAAAGACTCAACTCTGTGCTAATGAATTTGAAAATTGTGATGAACTAGTAAAATCGTAGAAAAACACACAACTACCCAAACTGATCCAGAATGAGGAAAGCTTGACCAGAATAACCAGCACTGACAAAGCTGAGAGAGTTGCCATAGCATTACACTGAATTTGCTTTTTAAAAAAACTCACTGGGCCTGGAACCTTATTATCAACTTCTTTCAAATTTTAAAGAATAAAGCATGTCCTAAACTGCTCCAGAGCCCAGGATAACACAGAAGGCATTCTACAGTATTTCATACAGCTGGCATGCCTCAGATACCAAACCCAGCCACAGGGGCAGAAAAACCAACACCACACATGAACACAGCTTTAACAATCTATATCAAGAAGCACATTCACAGAAAATAGGAAGCAAAGCTATTTCAATATTCAGAAGCAACATATTATAATTTTTCACAGCAACAGGTCAAGGAAGGAGAGTAAAGATAAGTTAAATAATGTCCCAAATGTACTTGATTAAATCGTATCTATCTTTAATGTTTCAAAAAACCCTCAATATTACATAGAAAAGGATATTCTTCATCATACTAACCAAGTGTTATCCTAACAAATATCCTGAGCAAAGAAATCAGTCAATAACCATGTTGTCTGTTCCCCTGCAGCTCTGGTAGGCAGCCTTCCCTGACATCTCCCTCAAACTCCTCTGTGTCCCTGGCATTCTTTTCCTAACCCTAGAGCAGCAGCGGTCCTCACAGCATATTCTGAGAGTCTGTTTGCTTGCTTTCCACATCAAACTGTATCTTACTCCACAGAGCACATAGTTGCCAGGGTCACTAGACCCTTGACACACAGTTGTCTAATAAATGAACTGCTATTGCGATATTACTCCAGCATTTTTGTTAATAATAACTTGGCAGGAATTCTATATACAAAACAATATGGAGCTGGTTAAACAAATACTTAAATATTTCTATACAAGAGAATGTTGTTTAGCCATTAAATGTATTTTTTACAAAATATTTATTGATGGAAAATGCTCAACATATATTATATTAAAAAGACATAATTCTAAACATTTTGCGCCATGAAGATGAATGTGTAGAAATGTACAGAAACACACACACACACTTGACAGACATATACACTCATATGTCTATGAAGAAGGCCAACTGGGTATCTGAAGGTAGTGCATTAACAGGCAGTTTTCATTTTACCATTTATATTTTCTCCAATTACTAAAGTACCTATAATGAATACATATCTTAATATAAACTGTGTAATTTAAATCCAATAAAAGCTAACAATGTGCTCAATTATCTTTTAAAAAATGTTGGCTATAGATTCCAAATTGCGAAGTTCCAATCATACAGAAAACTACAGAATAATTCCTAAAACATGGAAACATTTACACACATAGTCCATTTGGCTCAGCATGTATTCATTAGCTCCTGTGTGCCGGCACTAAGGATACTCGAAGATGAACAACCCTGCATGCAGGAACTTAGGGAAATAAATAAGCAATTCCTAGGCATGCAGTAATGCAGTGACTATATCCAAAGAGTCAAGGGCATTCAGGTAGAGGGGCATTAGGGTTTGGAAAGGCAAAGAGGCAAGTTCATTGAGAACTCAAAGCAGTTTGGATACATGAATCTAGAGAGAGCAGAGTCTAGTGGTAAAGAGTTCAGGAGCCACTTTCTTACATAACTGGCAGTTAAAACCATAGCCTAGAGTTGGTAGAAGCAAAAATAGGGCTTTCTATGAAAAAATTTGACCGCGGGTATCAAGATCTTAGAAAACCCTATCTTTTAATAGAGTAATCCGGTCTATCCTGAGACTATGAAAGAAGTGAAACAAATGCTACCTATCAGAGTGCTTTTCATGACAGACAAAAACTGAATAATCAGTAGCACCTGGGATTTGAAGGTGCTCAATGAATATCTGTTGAATGAATGAATATTTAAGAAATGGTTAAATAATTTATGGTACCTGCATATGACAGAATATTACAGAGCCATGATACTGTAGGTTTCTAGAAGGACATACTGAATCAGATACTCCAGGAATGACACCCCAGACTGTATACATTCTTTTAAGCTTTGACAAGTGGTTCTGTTGGGTTAATTACTCTCCATTTAAGGCAGAATGGGAAGTAGTTCCAAATTTTAAGGAGCAAGTAGAGGAAAAGAAACACACAAAAAAAAGAGGTAAAAAAGGAATGGTTAAAAAAGGAGAACAGAAAGTATTTTGGCCACAGAAGTCAAGAGAACAGCATTTCAATGTCAAAATCAGTAGAGGATGCAAAAGGTAAGGACTGAAAAAGCTTCCTATGAATGCAGTGATTAAGAGGCCACTGGTGGTGTTTCCCGAAGCATGCAGGGTATGGGGAAGCCTGGAGGGAAGTGGGCTGAGGAAGTTATGGGACAGGACAGAGGAGAGAGGGGAGAGAAGAAAGCAAAGTGGAACTGTCTTACAAACTCCTGAGCTTAAAATGAGAGTGAACTGCGAAGGAGCAGGGGATAGAGAAACACAGGGTCAAAGGAAAACAGTTTTGACTATTTGATTTGTTTTGTTCTTCCAAGATGTTCATAGGCCCAGTGGGAGGAGCCAATAAAAGAAGAGTGAAAATACAAGAAGAATAAGAGGTGTGGAGCGGCAAGGTTTTGGAGAAAGCAGAGCAGGGCATCAAGAGTCCAGGCCGAGCATTGGTTTAAAACTGGGGAAGACTCGAGGCTGTTCTCTGAGGCCAGAGGGAAGGAAAAGAGGACAGAAGGAATGTTAGGTGAAAGGAAAAGTCTGCTAGTGGAAAGGATGAATTTAAGGCAATTCATATCCAACTGCCTCCACTGTATTGAGGTAAGAGACATCGCTGTCTACAAAGAAAAAGGAGTTTAGTGAGTGTGTAAGGGGCTACAGAGACTAGTAAAAACATGGCAAAGTGACTGATGGGAACGCAGGAGCCAACCAAGTGTGAGGACAAAAGCACTGCTGAACAGGAACTAGGCAATCTGTGAATGTGGAAATCCATGCATTTTTGGTGTCTCCAATCTGCACAGCGGTTTCATCTACTCTTACAAAGCTTGGCAACTCGGATGAAGAAGTGGAGAAGGGATGCCACGTTTGGATATTTCCAGGAGGAAAGACAGAAAATTCAGTGAGATGAAGGTGCTAGAGAGGAGTTCATCTGATGGACCAAATATACAGGATGGATAGAGGCTAGAAAGGCAGTGTGAAGAGTGACACAGGTACCAAGAGCAGATGGCTGAATAGGAGGGGGGAGCTGGAAGTCAGAGCGCCCAGAGATAGAGGGAGCTGCAGGTTTTAATTAATTTATAGGTAATGGTTCAAGGGTTTTTAGAAGATCCAGAGTGGTTATGGACAAAGTAGAGTAGAGATAAAAGTTAAATGGACATGAACAATGTCTACCCTAGTGTGATAATGAGCTGTGGAATAGCAAAGGTGATTAGGAACAAAACATTCTATAATAAAATTTAAAATGTGAAATGCCTCATCTTGCTACACTTTTATGGTCTGCCCTTTGCAAAACTCTTCACTTATCCTTTTCAGAAAGCATGTTTCCATTGTGATACAGAAAAAAACTTTTAAAAGTTCAAAGAGAAAAGTAGATATGAGGTCCACTGTACTTTAAGATCATAGATCAACTAAATGTTGTTTCTTCTTTATGAAAACCATCTTGATATCAAAACAGACCATGAAAATAACAAAATGTACACAGACACACAACAAATGTGTTACACTGAGCCTTCTAAGGATTTTACATTATTTTGTCTCTTAACATATCTAATTATTTATACATACAGTATATATCAATCACCTGGTTTCATTTGGCAGCCTTGTGAGACCACCACCCTTAAACTGCACTTTTAATAGTGGGGGAAAGAAGTTCCCCCTTATACTAAATATGTTTTTACCCATAGAAGATGCTAGGAAGACCACTGTCTTTTATGGTTGAGCACACATTCCCTAAGAAGTAAAAATAAAAGCAAACTCCCAAAGTCTCCTTCCGAAAACCTCACACTATTTCAGAGCCCACAGGAGCCCAGGTGAGGGGCCGAGCTAAAAGTCCAAAAGCACCTTCTTTAGACAGGTGTCAAATCAACTTAGCCCAAGGATGATTCTCTTAGTGCCACTCTTTTAGCTCCTGCTTTGATGACCCTTTCTACATCCCCTAAAACAGTAAAACCCAACTTTTGCTGCATATTTTTAAAGATTTAACTCATTTATTAATAAAACAGCAAGACACTATAACTCATTCAAAGGAGAATTCAAAGACCAGATATAGATAGATAGATAGATAGATAGATAGATAGATAGATAGATAGATGCCATCAGGAATGTCAAAATAAATTTGCTTAATTATGTGAAAATAATCAACATCCACAGGGCAATAATCAATTGCATCTTCACCAGGCACAATTTGCATTTCCATGGACAAGAATCAAATTTGTTGTATTAATTTCTATTACAGAGTTGTTAAATAATTGCTGCATATTTGATTCACCTAATATTAGTCATTTAAAAATCTTGATACTCAGGCTGCACCCCACTCCAATTAAATCAGCCTTTTAAAAAGTTTCCCAGGTGATTCCAACATGCGGCCAACCTTGCAAATCAATGTTCTCTAAATTACAGATATTATCTGGTCAAGATTCAAAATTGTATAAAATGCAAGTAGTTAAGGGAGAAAAGTCTTATCAGCCAGCTCTTCGAAGCAATATTTTATCAAGTACCAGGGGCAGCAGCAGCATCTGTCTGCCTTATCAAAGCTGCTGCTGATGTTAGTGGATACTGAGGAAGATAAGGAAGGAAAAGTTCAATGTGCACTTCATGGCTAAGAATGTCTAATTAAATTATACCTCTAAAATCCAAAGCCAGAGCCTATATTTTTAATAGGTATTAAACCAAAAATAGATCTAATAATTATTACTGTCAGCCCTAAACTAGAACATAATTTCCCAGCTGAAAATTTAATGCTTGAAGATACAAAAACTATTTAAATATATAAACTATTGTTATAAAGATGTTGAAAATTGATAAGCTTTCCAATACATATTTCTAATAATATAGTTTTCTAATAATCACAACAAAATATGTTGCCCACTGTGGGATGGATATAATTATTAGAGTATGACAACATTGGTTTCCTCTTCCCACTGGATGATTTCTGATGTAGCGAATGGAAGGAGGTAGTCATCGTAACCATGGTGGGAGAGCAAGAACAAGACAGTATTCTCACCCTGAGAGGCTACACGCCAGGGTCCACTGAACTTGGGCTACTAATCCAGTATGGATTCACACATGCACACGCATACACGCACGCACACACACGGGCACATGCATCCACACCCTGAATTTGGGGCTAAGGATGCAGATTTACGGATGGTTGGGAGAGACCCAGGATCTCAAAGACTTAAAAAAAACAAAACAAACTCACTGGCATGCTCCTCCAGCTTTTCAGGCAGGCCACTACCCCACCCCTTGTCAGCAAATAATTACATCCATTTTCCCCTATAACAAATGTTAAAAGTATATATATATGTGTGTGTGTGTTTATATATATGTTTATATGTGTGTATAGTGTGTGTATATATATGTATATATATGTATGTGTGTGTGTGTGTGTATATATATGTATGTATTTTTTTTTTTTTTAAGGAGGACTCAGATACAAGGTGCTGCTATTACCTGGGGCAAAAACACAGAAACTAAGCCACTAAGTGTAGTGAACTCTGACTGCCTCTCCAAATCCGAGCCGCTCCCCTTCCTGGGCCTTGTGCATTTAGCTCACTGCAGACCAGGAACCATGAGAACTGTACTATGTGTTGGAGCAAATCCTTTCTGATATTTCAGATTTCTGGTTCTGTTGGAACAAGACACATTCTGAGAAAAGCTTGGTCTACTGGTACTGGGGCAGAGGATCTGAGCAACAGAGACGGGGCAGCACCAAGCCTGACAATGCGGACCAAGTCAAACGAAACACAGACCACCGAGACTATTCTTTCAGACGTTCTTAAATGCTAAGTTGTCAATTAGTGACTATGTTTTTTAGCTATTATAGCTGAGTCAATGCTTTGCTTGGCATCTTTCACATCCCTTCTCTAGGAGTATTGAGATCAACAGACCTGCCTGTCAGATATTAATCCTACAGTCACTATTCACAACTGTCCCATTAACTTGCCATATGCATTCTTCTTCACCATCTTCTTACCTAAACAATGTCCTCTTCTTTTGTAATCCTTTCCAGAATTGGTAATTCTCTGTGGGGGAAATACAACAGCAAGCAAGATATAGCCTCTTTTCAAGATGGTACTCCATCGCATTCTGTGATCTCAAATTACTACAGATACAAACACATCCATACTCTCTAAGAGAAAAAGGAAAGGATGAAGATTTAAAATGTGGGAGTAGCAGAAAAGAAACAGTGAAAATAACTGTCCAACCCCCTCTTGAGTAAGAAGAGGGAGACTGAGAGGCACAGAAGATGAGAAAGGGAAGAATGCCATTACATTTCTTCTAGAAGTCTCAACAGAATTAGATGTCAATTTGAGATAAATAATATACTGATGCTTCAGTTTTCTACTATAGACCCAACGACCAAACCAACAGCTAAGACTTAAGACCTTCCAGCCCCAGACACCGGACTTATCATCACTGTGTTGGCACCTTCAGCTGGTGGATCTCCAGCCCCATCTTCCCCTTGTAAGTTTCACACATTCCCTGAGAAGGCTCCTTACTTCAGGAAGCTCTCACTTCCCCATCACATGCCTACGAAAGATGACAAGTGCAGATGACTTATGACAAGGACGCCAAGGACTTCAGAGCTCCTGTCCAGGATCCCATGGCACTAGAGCACCCACCTGGAGTCTTGAATGTAACCCTGAACAAAGCGTCCCTCTGGACACAATGGCATCGCCACCAGGGATGACGTTAGCAGGATGAGCTCTGTATTGCCAGTGACAATAGTCAGGTACATCGCAAATTAAATACCTTTTGCAGGCTATGCTGAAAACCTAATCTGATATGACACATTATTACTAAGGGCAAATGTGGTCTGGGCACCAAACCACAGATTTAAAACTGAATTTTTGTTACATAATCCAGTTATAATTGAGGCCTCACTGCATATGACTCGGGTTCACAATGCTTCAGATAATTCACTTAGGAAGAAAACTCTGTCAGTAAGAGAAGTTTCTGGGCTCCTCCTGGGGCTTTGTAAGTTGTAGTTTAGGGCCCTGGCTTCCTATTTGATATACATCATCCCTCCAGCAAGATCCACCTCTACGGAAAACTTACTCTAGGTAATCTATGCTCACATCACAGAGACTCTGAAAAGGCCTCTCTCATGTAACGTTAAGTAGCTGACTATATTCTAATTAAAAGTGAAACAAGAATTCTCTTTCCTTCAGCCCCAATCAGAAATTTGGCAGACAAATTCACTCACTACCTGTTGCACTGATATGGCTGTCTGCTGTGGTCTCGATGTTTTTGTCCCCTCCAAAATGCATGTGTTGGAAACTTAATCCACAATGCAACAGCAATGGGAGGCAGGGTCTACTGGGCGGTGTTTAGGTCATGAAGGCTCCACCCTCATGATGGACCTATGCTGATATAAAAAAGGACTGCAGGAGTGGGTTTACTCTCTTCCGCTCTTCAGCCATGTGAGGACACAGGGTTTGTCCTTCTCTTAACCTTCTGCCTTCCTCCATGTGAAGACACAGCAAGAGGGCCCTCACCAGTGCTGCCACCTTGATCTTGGAATCCCAGCCCCCAGAACTGTGAAAAAGAAATTTCTGTTCCTTTATAAATTATCCAGTCTCAGGTGTTTTGTTACAGCAAGCACAAACAGACTAAAACAGCATCTCTCTCTCTAAGATGTTTTCAAAGTAATTTTATCTGATTTTGAACTATTTTTTCTTGTGAGTTTTTATTTCAAAAAGTATACCCTACTTCAAATCAATAAACATGTGCTTAATTAGTAACCCATACAAGTCAAAGCCATAAACAGAGATATGTTAGGCAACAAATGTATATTCAAATATAATCTGATATTGAAAGAATATCTAAAAACTTAAAAGCAATCAGTTAATATTCTTTAATGAAGCATATTTCTATATTTGACTGTTTGAAAAAACAAAGACCAATGGTAAAAAAGCTATAAGACAAACAACTCAGTTCCTTTCAAAAATAACCTGCAAAAAAAGCAAGAAGAGAATTGGAAAGGGTACCCACAGATCAAAAGAATACAAAAGATACATCAACTTATAAAACAGGTGGAGCTTATTTGCCCTCATTCTAACGAAATGTTTAAAAAATTACACTACTGGGGACAACTGGAAATTCAAATACTGACAGGATATTTGACCATATTATTAAGGAAATTACTCTTCTTTATTTTTGTTTGTTTCACAAAGGTATTGTGATGACATGAAAAGATATCCCTTATCGTTTGGAGCTTATATAATGAAAACATAGGAATGAGATGATATCCCCAAGGTTAGCTTTAAAGCAATGTGGGAGGGTGGAAGTAGCCAGAGTAGTAAATGCAACCAGACTGGCTACCAGCTGTTAGTTACTGAAGCTGAACGATAGGTAAATGGAGGCTTATTACACTATTCTATTTTGTAATCATTTTAAAACTTCCATAATGAAGTTTAGAAAAAAAAAAAAGGCCCAATCTGAAATTTTTTAAAAACTGAAAGATTACCAAACTCAACACGTGTTGTTGTAGTGTTAGTAATAATAAACAAGAAATGACATGTGACAGTGCAAGACGAGTGAGGTGAAGCAGCTAAAGGCCAGCGCAGAGTGGGCATTCAAAAGGTCACTGCCCCTAAAAATCATCTGAGCCCAAAGGAAAGGAAATAATTTCTGAACTACCACTAGGAGTCAGGTTTGCACACACCAAAGCTGAAAAGGATAACAGAATAGAAAACAATTTCTAGACATCCAAAGTTCTTCATTCCTTTCGAGGGGATTGGGAGATAGGGTCAAAGACCTCCCCTTTAAGAATCTGAAAATTGGAAAGCCTTCAAGATACAAAATCTAAAACGCCAAACCCAAGGAGCAGAGCAATGTACATGGTACACTTCCATCTGTGTCATGCACGTGTCTACGTGCCTGTGCGTGTGCATGAAAGGATACACAAGTCACTGCTGCAGTCAGCCCTGAGGAAAGGGGCGGTGTGAGAAAGACACAGGTTTCACTGTACTTTTTTTACTGTCTTTTCTGTTTGAACTAATTAACTTGTGAGATTTAACTTTGGTTTTTGAAATTTAAACGATATCTAATACAAGAAGAAAGTATTTCAACTATCCCAATTTGCCACTGTTAACATATTACCACATTAGTTTCCAGGTTATTTTTCATGTTTGTGTATGTATACATACATACTATCAAACATGAAAAGACATAAGAAAACATGGATACATTCTTTCTATCTTTATAAATTACATCTTCATAATCCTACTCCAATACTGATCCATCACTTTTTCTATTAAAAAAGTGATAATTTTTTAAAAAGAATAAAACTTCAAAAGATCTCTATAAAAAAAAAAATCTCATGACCAGCGTACAGCCTCTCTCAGAAAGAGAGACAAGGACATGCACGCGCGCGCACACACACACACACACACACACACTTTTTCATACAATTAAGGACTGCAGCGATCTATGGAGACCCCTAAATCCATGTCAAGAACCCCTGCTACAGACCTACACTACACTATCATTATTCTTGCACTGTGAATGAGGATTCAAAGATACATTTTTATGGTGCTATTGAACACTAACTTTTCTGCTCATTTTCATTTTTTTCAGTTGTTAAATTTCTCCCCAAATAATATAGTAATATAGCTCTTACTAGTACACACTATTCTTATTTTGCCATACGGAAAAATAAGTTTAAAAAGTAGGTATATAATCTTTCCTTTTCTTAATTTCCCAATCCAATTATTTTTAACAACTATCATAGAGTGGAAGAGAGTAGACAGGAAAGAAAAAATCACTGGTATCGGTGCATCAGGCATTGTGCTTGGCATAGGACACTCACATCATCTTTAGAATCGGCCATGTGCCAACTTTTGAGTAAGGCAGTATCCCCCATTTTAGAACCTAAGCTTTAGTGGAGATGAAAATATTTTAATCAAATAAAATGTTTTCATGCATAAGTACCTATAACATACAGTAAACAATGCAATTTCTACAAATGCACAAGGAAGAAAGAACAGTGATGTACAGCTCTCATGGTGCACACCCACTCCAATCAATCTACTTTTGTTCCCAGCAGTAGTGAGGTGGGGAGTGTGTGGTGCAGGGACCTCTCACCAGCTCACCCACAAACCCTGCCAGCCAACCGGGGGCACTCAAATTCACCAACCAAAAGGATCCCAGCACCATCTTATTTTTCCGCCTGCCAGCTCAGGAGGCTTCCCAGAGTGTCTTAATCCTTTAACATGATGAAAATCTGGATGGCAAAGGTTCCCCAAGATTTTAATATCTACTCACTTAGGACTCAGGCTTCTGGTAATGGCAGAATAGCCTATATGAGACTAACCCTCCTTCTAATAACAATAAAAATGTAGAGAAAATATATATTTTTAATGAAAGTGCTGGAGAGTGACCAAGAGCTGGCAGAAACTAGATGTGTTGACCCTTAAAGGCTGAGATGCGAAGGAGGTGAGGCCACATTTAAATGGTCTTTCCCCCAGGGCAACGGCCAGTCCCCTAGGAACAGTGAGGCAGGAAGCAGTATTACTGAGCTGGAGGACACAGAGATGGGGTCTGGGGCAGCTGGAAATTGGGAGGAGGTAGGTACAGTGAGCGGAAATCCCAGAAAAGAGGGAGACTCAGAGGAGGGAGTCTAGAATCTAATAACAAACCCTCAAATCCTTGGCTGTCTTTTGAACTGCTTGTGTAGAAGACAAGGAACCCAAAGTAAAGCCACCCAAAGGAAGACTGGAAGAACTGAGCAAAGTATCAGCAGTGACTCAATATGGGGGACAAGGAGCTAGGAACTCAAGTCCTGCCAGGGATAGAGTAGCCAAGCAAACATCTTCTATTTCCACTGAAACTTCAGACTACGGGCAACTCAACAGACCTACTCTAAAAGGCCTCAAAGCAAGCCTCCACCAGTCTATGAAATAATCTGATAGTAATTTAACTGCCTGCTAGAAAACACATGATAATCTTCAGATGCAGATGACAATAGAGAGCCTCTAAAACATATCCACATTGTTCTCTATGTGATTAAAAATTATTAGGCACGCAAATCACAAAAATGTGACACACAGAGAAAGCAGTAAAAAGAATAAGAACTACACAAGACAAAGATGTTGGAATCAGCAGACAAGGGATGTAAAATAACTATAATATATAGGAAATAATTTACAGAAAAAAGATGGGTAAAGAATGAATGAAGAGTAGAAGATTTCAGAAGAGATATAGAAACTCTAAAAAGAATGGAAATACTAGAACAGAAAAGTACAATAGCTGAAATAAAAATTCACTGGATGAGAATAACAGCAGACAGGGCACTGCCGTTAGGAAAGGAGTCACGAACTTGAAGACAAGTCAACAAAAATTATCCAACCAACGCATACAGAGAAAAGCCTGAAAAAAATGAACAAACTGTGGAATCATATCATGTAATCTAACACAGATGCAACGAAAGCTCCAGAAGAGAGAGCTGGAAAAAGGGAATAGAAGAATATTCCCCAAACTTGACTGAAAATATCAGCCTGCAGATCCAGGAGGCTCGGTGAACCCAGGGAAGATGACTCTAAAGGATACTACACATAGACCTATCACAGCAAACCAGCAGATTAAAACAGGAATAGAGATGAGGAAAGGGAGGGGCACGAAGTGGGAGAGGGGAAGGGGAGGGAGAAGCAGCGAGGCAACAGGATTTAAAAATGTCTAACTAGAATTCTATATCTAGCCAAATTACCCTTTGAAAGTAAAGCAAAGTGATGATATTTTTAGAAAAAAGTTGAGACAATTTCTTGCCAATATTATAAGCAATGCTAAAAGGGGCTGATTCAGGCTGATGGAAAATGACAACAGATGGAAATAAGCACCATAGCAGGGGACAGAGCACCATGGTCCACAGGCCAACTTCAGCCTATCGCTGTTTCTGTAGTGCCCATGCATTATTTATTTAATAAAAAAAAAAAAAGAAGAAGAATATGTGACAAAGACTGCAGACTATGAGGTCCACAAAATCTGTAATATTTACTATCTTGTGCCTTACAAAAAAAGGTTGCCAAATCCCAATTTATAAGAAGAAAAAGACAGAGGCAAATGTAAGACTATATCTTTTTCTTTAGTTCTTCAAAAGATAATTGTTTAAAGCAAAAATAACAATGAATTAAAGCATTTACAGTATATGTATAAATAAAACAGATTACAAAAAATTAACTCATCTAAAAATGCCCTCAAGCCCAAGGCCATCCCATAAATATGAACTCATACAACCCTAAATCTTAGTAATATTAAATTATTTCACATTATTTCTGAAAAGCCTTAAAACACTAGGCTGAAATGATTATTTTTTAATAACACAAAACTGAAATAAAATAGATGGTTTGCTCCCAATCTATTTTCTAACATACACAGCAAATAGCAAGTATGTTATCAGCTATGAAAATCTTTTGAAAAACTGAAAGCACCTTCTGTTTAAAGTGCTTCTTAAAAAATTAATAATTTGTTCTCTTTCAACCTGTTGAATACTGGCAAACTGTGAGGGTTGACAGGAAACACTTCTTTGAGGAAAGAACATGAAGAAGGGTATAAATAGGAAAAGGAAGACAATATTTGGGGAACAATGGTGTGAGTCAGAAAGTAAATACACAAGGTGAGAGGAGAGTGGTGAAGAGTTAGTATATCAGGAGAGCGATCAGAGTCTCTCACAAGGCACAGAGGGCTCTGGCTGGGGGGCAGGAGGTATGGCAATGCCAGCCCCCCACTATCAAGGAGGTGACCCACTTTCAGCACTGCACATCCAGTGGCTTGCACAATTTACACACATAACCGAGGGAAGTGTCTGGAATCAACAGGTTAACTACTACATGAACAAATGAAGAAACAGAAATGGTCTATTAGGGATGAGAAGTCAATGTGTACACATAACAATGAATTTGGAACATGAGACTAAGGGGTGGGGGCTTATTCCAAGAGAGATGCTTCAAAAGAATGCTGGAACAGAACACTATAGACTGATGAAGTCAGGACCTACTGATTCTGATTTGTAATTCAGAGTCTCGAGTTCTCATTTACTTTAATAGATCCTGGTTTGTGTTTTATCATGTTTGGTCACTAGAGAAAATTGGGAGTGCTTTGTTCTCATTCTATTTCAAATGCATACTATGTAAATAAAATTACTATGAGTGAGAAAATTAAAAATCAGCAAGAAACTGATAAAGATACTGATCAGATGGATGGGAAATAAACGGTAACCTAAAATCATGGAGGCGGTTGAGTGGAGCCAAATTTTATAAATGGTCAGGTCACTAGCTGGTGTTTTCCTACTGGTAGAGCTTTAACTTTCAATTTAAGTTCAAACTGTAGAAATATGGATAGTGACTTTTTAGAGTATGAGAATCCTAAATTTTTTAAATAATAGACTTTCATATTAGTATCCAGTCAAGCATTCCATAATGACATTTCAGTTAACAACAGACTAAATGTACGATGGTAGTCTCACAAGATTATAAAGGAGTTGAAAAATTCTTTTTAGTAGAGGCAGGGTTGCACCATGTTGGCCACGCACTGGTCTCGAACTCCTAACCCCAAGTGATCTACCCGCCTCGGCCTCCCAAAGTGCTGAGATTACAGGCATGAGCCACCGCACCCGGCCGAAAAATCCATATTGCCTAGTGATATTTGGGCTTTCTACATCATAATGCAACACAGTCATCACGTATTTGTGGTGATGCTGGTGTAAACAAACCCACTGCACTGCCAGTCATATACAAATACAGAACATGCAATTATGTACAATACATAATGCTTGATAATGATAGTAAATGACTATATGACTGGTTTATGTATTTACTATACTTTATTGTCATTTTAGACTGTACTCCTTCTACTCATTTTTAAAAAAAGTTAATAGTAAAATAGCCTCAGGCAGATCCTTCAGGAGGGATTCCAGAAGAAGCACTGTTCTCATGGGAAATGACAGCTCCATATGTGTCACTGCCCCTGAAGACCTTCCGTGGGACAAGATGTAGAGATGGAAGACAATGATACTGATGAGCCTGAGTCTGTGCAGGGCTAGGCTAATGTGTGTGTGTGTGTCTTAGTTCTTAATAACAAAGTTAAAAAAGTAAAAAATAATAATTCTAAAAATAGAAAAAAACTTATAGAATAAGAATATAAAAAATATTTTTGTACAGCTATACGATGTGTTTGCTTTAAGCTAGATGTTATCATAGAAGAGTCAAAAAGTTAAAAATTAAAAGGTTATAAAGTTACAGTAAGCTACAGTTAATTTATTACTAACACAATTTTTTTCTTTTTATTTATTTATTTATTATTATTATACTTTAAGTTTTAGGGTACATGTGCACAATGTGCAGGTTAGTTACATATGTATACATTTGCCATGCTGGTGCGCTGCACCCACTAACTCGTCATCTAGCATTAGGTATATCTCCCAATGCTATCCCTCCCCCCTCCCCCCACCCCAGAACAGTCCCCAGAGTGTGATGTTCCCCTTCCTGTGTCCATATGTTCTCATCGTTCAATTCCCACCTATGAGTGAGAATATGCGTACTAACACAATTTTTTAAAAAATTGAGTATATCCTAAGTATACAGCATTTATAAAGTCTACAGTAGCGTGCAGTAATGTCCTAGGCCTCCCCATCCACTCACCACCCACTCACTGACTCAACCCAGAGAAACTTCCAGTCCTTCAAGCTCTATTCATGGTAAGTGTCCTATACAGGTTGTATGAATTTTTTATCTTTTATACTATACCTTTTCTGTTTAGATACACAAATACCACTGTGCTGTAATTGCCTACAGTATTCAGTAAATGAACATGCTGTGCAGGTTTGTAACCTAGGAGCGATAGGCTATACCATATAGGCTACGTGTGTAGTTGGCTGTACCATCTAGGTTTGTGTAAGTACACCCCATGGTGTTTGCACAATGACCAATGAGGAAATCACCTAACGACACATTTCTCAGAATGTATCCCATTGTTAAATGATTAATGACTTTGTACATTACATAAGTCAATTTTTGTGTATGTGCACACATGTTTTAAAGAATAATATTATCATAGCTGCATTTCTGGGGAAAGTGACAAGAAATTGGTAAGGCTGATAATAAGGATAAAGAGCAGAGGCAAGTAAAGGGAGAAAACACCAATTTTTTATTGTATATGCTTCTGTATTAGTTGATTTAAGTTCATGTATTACTCATATTAAAGATATATTATTTACTCATTTAAATACACAGGTATGTATAATATATATGAACATATGTGTAAATATGGACAGCCAAATAAAAAACAAACTTGGGTGTCTCAATTCCCTGAAAGTATATAAGTGCCTGCTTGCTTATATGCTTAATACACATATTACATATATGTGTGACGATTTACACATATATCTTCACAAATACGTGTGCACATATATGAATATATACGCATACTGTCAGATTCTTAAGTATTCTCCCTTAAACTCAATACATTATTCCATACTTCCAATTTATTTGATGCCTGTTTCCTCCTTCCAAATTAAGAATATTTTAACATCATCTAACTGACAATAATACTATTATAAGTATTACAAAACATGATTCTTTACCCTTTACATTCCTTTAATTTAGTTAAAAGTGTTAGTTAAAGTATTCTAAGGTCAGGCTGGGCATGGTGGCTCGTGCCTGTAATCCTAGTACTTTGGGAAGCCAAGGTGGGCGGATCACCTGAGGTCAGGAGTTTGAGACCACCCTGGCCAACACGGTGAAACCCCGCCTCTACTAAAAATACAAAATTAGACGGGCATGGTGGTGTGCATCTGTAATCCCAGCTATTTGGGAGGCTGAGGCAAGAGAATCACTTGAACCCAGGAGGCGGAGATTGCACTGAGCCAAGATCGTGCCACTGTACTCCAGCCTGGGCAACGAGGGCGAAACTCCATCTCAAAAAACAAAAAAAGTATTCTGAGGTCAGTTAAGAAGTCTGCTCTTTCATCTCAAAATCTGCATCTCTTCTAAAGCACAGCCCCCTCACCAGCACGAATCAGAAATTAAAAAGGTATGAAAAATATAAGTAGGTCTTAGAGGGGAGAAAAATAAAATGAATACAATGGATAAAATCTAACAGCTTTAGTCATCAACTACAGATATGATCTTTATTTGGGAATTATCATCAAAATAAACCAACAAACACCCTAACATCTTACAATTCCTCAAGACTACATTGGGGGCCATTGATTTGTACCCCACATAACCTAATACCTTCCCTTCCCTACCAGAGCAGTTGTTTCCTTTCATCATAACAGCCCCTCACCAGACCATGGAGTGCATGGTCTGGGGAGGACAGGCAGGAATTGGGGACACAAGCAGGAGTTGCTCACCACTGTCCTCAGCACAGAGCTGGACACACAGCAGGCAGGGCACCCAATAATCTCCAGCTTGGCATCAGATAAATGCAATAAATCCAAACCATTCTACGCCATTGGCGCCTACTCAAAAGCAGGGAAGAATTAACATTTTATAACCACAAGAAAAATATACCTTAAAAAAAAAATCCAAGCTCAAAAACTTTAAAATTAACTACATTGTTTAAATAGTCCTTATTATTATTTCTGTAAAATAAATGGCTAAACGGCCAGTCAACTTCCTTTAAAGAATTCATGAGAAAAGTTCACAAATTTTTTGTAGTTTCACAGAAATAGATTAAATATGTAACATTCCAATTATTAATTTTCCATGCTACAATTTTAAATGTAAATGATAGTAACTACTAAGTGATACACTTCAATAAAAATAGAAAATGGTTAAAACATAAAGAAATTTATAGGTAGTCAACTGCAAGATCCATAATACTAATAATTAATCATTATTTAAAAGTTAGTTTTTTAATTAAACTTAAACCCTAACCCTATCCCTAACACTAACTCTAACCAGCCAACACATTCAGAGATATATTCCCTAAACGGATTTTCCAAAGACTAATACTTAGAAAATGTACCACCAAATCTGCTGATGAAAATACACTAAATTATATTTCAGGAAAATAAATTATCTGGAATCCACATTACTATTATTATTGTTGTTCAAAGCCATTAGCCTAACTAAATAACAGTACATATATTTTGTATGTATGTATATATAATAAAGTGTATGTGTGTGTATATATATATACACACACACACACACAGTGTCTTTGTTTGAAATATATCCACCATCCCATTATATATAAACATAATGCCTTCTAGTTATTCGTTTTCACTGTTACCTTGAAGAAATAGCTCAGAGAAGACAATGATAATATTGGGCCCATCATACATTAAAGTGGTTCCGAACAAATATTTATTTATGATAAAATTTATAATGCACAAAATTCCCCATCTAAATCTTCATAATCTAAGCAGTCAAAAAATTCATATGCTTTGAGAAATCATCACAATTCAAACAATGAACAAGTGTCATTTCTTTCACAAAGGAAGTACTTGGCTAAGTCCAACACTTCCAAGGACTCTGGCCAAAAATAACAGTAATTAAGCTTGTAACTTCATATGTATGGATCTGAACTAGTCAAACCAAAAATAGCTTTCTGATCATTTATCAGCTGCTGCCATTTGCCTAAGAAGCTAACTGCAACAAAGAGACTAAGTTAGACAAATCATGGTGAAAACACACAGAAATATAACTGAACTTAAGACTTAAAGCTCTTTTCAGTTATTATGTGGTAGCACAAGAGGGATGGTCATCATGCAATTATTTGGATACTTAACAAGATTAACTATTTCTTAAACTCCCTAAGATACATGTAAAATACACAGCAAAACACAGAATTAACACACACGCACACAGCTCTTAAAACCAATGGAAACAGCGCACAAGCTATCTGTTCCCATCCAGCGTAAGAATCGCTCCCCTTGAAAATTCTCCTCTTGAATGAACAACACTGCCTTTTAGGGATGCCCACAGCACACAGCTTGCCTTCCCCCACTGCTGCCTCAAGCTCATGGTGTTCCTTCTCATGAGAATCACCTCCCCAATGTTCCTTTACACCTGCCTGGGAAGCCCTCATTCTCCTTACTCACAGCCGCACCCTCGCACTTCAGGCCCTACTGGGGGATATCCAACAGTAACAGCTTCCTGTGTGCTGAGTGCTGTTCTGAGGACTTCACATCTACATCTGAACCAGTCAAACCAAAAATAGCTTTCTAATCGTTTATCAGCTCTGCCATTTGCAGAAGCTAACTGCATCATAGAAACCAAGTTAGGCAAATCACAGCAAAAACACACTAAAATAAAACTGGACTTAGAGCTCTTTTCAGTTATTATATTGTAACAACCATTCAATGCACACACACACACACACACACGCACACACACACACACACACACAAAACCTACCTGGGAGGAGACCACCCTTCACCTCCATTTTCCAGAGGAGCAAACAGTGGCACACAGAAGCGAATTCACAGAGCCCGTCAGGGGAAGAACCAGCTTGAACCCAGGCAGATTTGCCTCCAGAACGGGAAGTTGCTGGTACAGTGATACTCTATGCCACATCCCTGTATTCTATGTGTGTATCAAAAGGGCGTCCTGCCTGACCTGGCAACTTCTCATCTTTCATGTGTGAGCATCAATGTCACATGCTCTTGAAGCTCTCTCCTGACACTAACTGGGAGCACTCCAGTGTGCACCAACAGCACCCCACCTCTTCTTGTGTTAAATGTATGTGTGTGACCTTGCTTGTTTCATGTCTGCATCACCCTCTAATATCAAACGCCATGATCAGAATCTATCATAGTTATTCTCCTATCCCAGGTCCCAACATTTATCCACAACTCACCAGTTTTTCATGACATGCTTTAACTCCAACTCTCAGAAACACCTACTAATGATTCCAGGAAAGTAACAGTTTCTTGCCTCCCTATACATTGCACAGACCTTTACCTAGTTCATACAATTTGGCATTTAGTTGCATCCAATTTGTCCACCATGATTTAGGTCTTTTTTGGGCCTTAAATTATCTATTATGTGTGAATCTCTTTTCCATCTGAGATGTTTTAGCAACCTGAAGATAGAAGAGCCAACCCCACAGTATGTGTACAGCCCTAGAAACACAGCATATGCTCAATATGGCTGGATTCACATCTGTTGGAGGGAAAGAACATACTGAAAATGTCTTGACTGCTTCATGAAGGCCCACTGGGAAATCGGGATGGAAAATCAAATTGAAAAATTCCTTTTGCAGGGAAAAACAGAGCAGCCACTAACTGATCTAACTGATCAACAGAAGTGTAATGGGAATATGTGTGTGTACGGCGTGGGGAGGGGACACACAAAAAATGAAAACTCCATGAAGCTGTCAGGAAAGGTAGCCTCTCCCTTCTCTTCCCTTTTGTCTTCTCTTGGGCTAGACCTAAGAACCAAGAGTTCTCAGTTCTGGCTCAAAACTGAAGTTTCATTTTACTATGGTAGAAATCACAGACAGACACATGCAGATACATACAATTTCACCAGCATAATTTTGCAGAATAAAAAAAGGTTTTATCACCACTACTGAAATAATGAACACTAAAAAGTACCTTATAATACTATCATTTAAGTTGCAATTACAATTCGTGGTGATGTCACCCACTGCTGTTAACAAACGATCATTAAGTTCTGCTTGTGATGACCTTATTGAAATAGCTCCCAAAACAGCCTGCTGAGGTTATTTGCTGAGAAAGAAAGAAACTTCATCTGGTTTCCCTGACTGTTGTAACACAGAAAGAGTCTGGAATACTTTAGTCATTACCATTTACAAAATTTATGATACATATGCCGTTCCCACTATAGGGATGCATTGCTTCCAGAAATCCGTAAACTTCAAAATTGTGACTCAAAAACACTGAGTCACAATACATTAAAAAAAATTTATTTGGTGTCCAATGAATTATTTAGTTTACAAGTAGATGCATTAGAGAAGAAAGCTCTAGGGTCAAGGCCAGAAACCTGGGTAGGAGCAAGCAACCTGGCAAGAATCCAGGAAGAGGGAATATTATATATTATACCAAGGCATGTTCCTTGCCAAAATCTGAGGTCTCTCATTTTCCAAGATCACACCTAATCTTCAAACCAAGGCAAATCATGGAAGTTTTAAATATGGGAGTCACTTGGCAGTCCCAAACTTAAGACCCAAGGTTTGCAGTGCTCAGGAAGGTCTAGGACATGCAATGATTTTTACCACTAAGAAACATATGTGAATCTCATGCATGGTGAAGCTGGTACACAAGAGGTTTCACTTGGTTGGAGAGTCAGTCTTGCAGACTGCCCAGTGACCACCTCTCAAAACCTTCACTGTTCTTTATTAAGTGCTGTCAAATGTGTAATACTCTGGCAATCCCCAAGTCCTCTGATTCTTCCTCCAAAAACCTCTCCAAGCTGCCCACTTCAGCCACCCAGATCCAAGCCCCTTCTCTCCCCAAGACATCTGCCTCTGCCTCTTTGCAGTCCTCTGCATGGCATCTGCTCCTGCCCTTCCCTGCCTTCCAACCCACCTTCCACGTGCAGCCACACCTGCCAACATGAGCCAGCTCCTCCCTCCCCACTTTCCACCAATGTCCTCATCCCAATCTTGTTTAATGCCATATAACTCCACTAGTGGTTTTTAGGTTGGGGTGATTTTGCCCCCCAAAAGGCATTTGGAAATGCCTGGAGACATCTTGGTTTACAACTGAGGGAGGAAGACTGCAATTGGCATCTAGTGGGTACAGGCCAGGGAGTCTGTCAAATATCCCGTGACACACAGGACAGTGCCCAAGACAAAGAATTATCTAGGCCAAATCATAAATGGAGCTGAGGTTGAAAAACTCTGCTAGAAATCAATAAATATTTTAATGATAACTGAAAAGCATTCAATATTACTTTAATCATATCCTCTTTATTCCTCCTTTTATTCTATTAACTATTTCCAAAAAGAGTAAAACATAATTTAGATTAGCATATTATATTTTTAAATCATGAATAATGATACGTGTTAGCAATAACTACTACTAACAGGGGAGTCTTCACATTTAGCACAAGAATGAAAGTACTCACATGTATTCTTCTAGTAAGTACCTGTGAGAAAACTAAGGCATGAAGAGGCGTAACTTCGGTCACTCAGCTAAGACAAGGAAAGCTGGGATTCCATCCCAGGACACCTGAACAGAAAGCTTTTCCCACTATGCCAGACTACACTATACTTTCAATACGCAAAATGACAGTAACGTGTGGGTGTTAGAAACTTCTCTCAGTTCAAATCCTGGTCTATCCCTTTCTTATCTTTATGACATTGAGCAAGTTACTTATAAGCCAAACCTCAGTTACCTCATCTGTAATGGGTGAGAAAATGGTACCTACCTCACAAAGTTGCATGAGATTCAGAAAAAACAAGAATAAGAATATTTAGAGTAGCACTCGGCATGTAGCTGGCACTCATTAAAGATTACTTCTTATTGTCTAACAAATACTCAAATATTTTATTCCCCATAGCCTTTTGACTTGCACGAGCAATTGAAAAAAAGAAAACCAATTTTGGCTTCCTTGCTGAATAGATGTAACTTAGAATTAATTTAAAAATTAAGAAAAATAATGAAATGTTTAATTACATCAATATCTGTATCTAATAACTCATAAATGTTTATACATTTAAATATCGTACTCAAAAGGTAAAGAAATTTAGACTTACTATACAATATTCCAAATAAAAAAGAAATGGAAGGTTTAGGAAGCCAAATAAGGTTATCATTAAAGGAATAGTTTTATATATATAATCTCTAACATGTATTAAGTAATTTCTGAAATATTTTAACTTAATGTAATAATTTCTAAGTAAATTCTAAGTAAATCTGAACATTCTACAAATTTGTTCAGTGGCACTATGTAACACCATCACCTAGATTTTACCTAACACTATACTTTTAAAAAGAAAAGATTTGGCATTCATTTCACAGATTTGACTTAGGCAACTAGTTATTCTTTAAATAAGTTGTAATATGCATTAAGCAGTCAATGACTAACAAACTGACAATGTATTATTTCACCTAAACTATTTTTGACTCTACTATAAAACAATATTAATACTTGGCTCTCATTCAAATTTCATCAGAAAACTAAGAAGTCAAGTAAGTTTCTTTATATTTGGTAAATTTAATACATCATAGGATTTCCTCACGAGAAATAGATTTTTACTTAGAAATTTTTTTTAAACTGTAGCTTGGTGTTTAAGTTAAAATTACCAATCACATTTATTTTTAAACAAAGGCAATATCCACAATGATATCCACAAGAAAACAAAAGACAAATATAATTTTCATATTCAATTTACCACTTATGTCAACAAAAGCCATAAAATGATCATACTATAAACTTGTTAGCAATTTTCTATTTGATATAAAAGTATTTCCAATAAAATATACTATAACAATGATCAAAATTCTCAAAATTCATCTCTTCAGATATAAGCATTTTATCTACAAAACATGCAAGTGATTTTCTTCTACATTTTATGCAGAAAAAAATCTTCTAACTTTCATTGTTTCGTTTTTCTTCTATTAGCCAGCTACACCACTCTGTAATATCTGTATAACAATGATACCAGGTTAGTAACACAGTCATTTCTGGTTACAGTTTAACCTACCATATTAGATTTTTCTGAGTGTATTAGTCCCACAGTAATTTATTTGACCTGCTATTGATGTCATTTACCTATATGCAAACGTGCCAATTGAAGTTAGTCTCTTTTTATAACCAGGGTGTACATTTGGTTTAATTGTTTAAACTCTTTTCATCAAATCACATCAAGTGTAGGAAATCGCATCAAAGGGTGGGAACACACACAACATTACAATCCTTTCATTTCACATAGAGAATCCACAGGCACTTGCACAAACACATCCGTCACACCCAGGGGTATGTGCACAGTCACGTTACCAGCCATGACAGGTCGGCCATCCCCATTATCTGTGCCGCCGCGGCACACCTGAGCTCCCTGCCCCTTCACGTCACATCTAGGAGCAGCTCTAAGGCAGACTCTCGCTCATGGGCTGCCTCCTGGAAGTCCTCCCCCACTACCTCTCCATGGCAACCGCAGCCACAGAGAAGCCAGTCCATCTCTTACGCAAATGAAAGGAGGCCACAAATGTCAGCAGTCACAACATCCCCATTTTCCCTCCCTACTTAATTTCCTTCTTAAAGTCACAGTAATGCATTCTTCTTATTCTGCATCCGAGAGTACCTTCCCAACCGTTTAATGGCCAGGAAAGCAACTTAGGAAAATCAGAGTTAAAAATCCATCTGTGTGACCACTTACATAACATGACTGAGAATCCAAAGATGATTATGATTTGCTGAGTTTCATTTACTGACACAGTATCTCAGCAAGCCCCCTTTATGTCTCAGCATCCTAGTATTTGAGATAAGAGTCCTTTAAGATATTAACTATCCTGTAATTTGGCTTTCTTAAAAACGACAGAGAGAGAGAGGCCATCCATTATGACAGTCAAGAAACAATCAGTACTTAATATGCATTGTTTCTTTTGCAGATTCTCATTTATTTAGAAAAGTCAAGGTTTTAAAAAATATTTTTACTTTTAAACCAAATCATCAACTATCTAATTCTACAGGAGGGAAAAACTGAACAGATTATCATTCATTATTCAATTGTTATCAGGTTTAGTTTATACTGTAATTGTCTGAAGTTTTATTTCCCAGATATATATTTAAAGAAGCAAATATAATGGCTAGTTACACTTCATATGGCTACAGAGATTGGAAAGCAGATGTAAATCCCCATTAACAAAATCATGCTTACAATAACTGTTTAATATATAGATGTCAGATTTTAAAGTATGTTTTAATCCATGGGATGCACCAAAGTATCAAATTCTGTAAGTGGTTATAAACATGTGATGGTCTAATAAAAAGAATTCCAATTGAAATAGCTTGGAACAAGATACTACTGGTGAACAATATAAACGTGGTGGGTTTAATATTCTCCAAAACATGTATTCGAAATCAATTGAAATCCAAAACAGTTATGTTTACATGAAAAACAATACAAGAGAATTAGAACATTAAAAAGTACATATATATGTATACATGTATATGCATACACATTTTTTAGTTGTCCAATGAAAAGGGCAATTTAAAAACTTGAATTCTTCAGCAAAACATTTACTAAGTATCTACCAATGTGCTACGTACCCTACAGTTTAGGGACACAGAGACATGAGGCATTTTCATGGAGGGCCACTCAGAGGCAGTGGGAGCTGTACCTCAAGCAGCCCCAACCCATCCCAGCTGAGTATTCCAGGAGGCTGCCCAGAGGGACTAGAGGTGAATCTCAGGATCAAGTTTCAGTCCACAGCAGAAAAAGACTCAAGAGATTCAGGGAAAAGCATGATGGTTAGAAACAGCACAGTAGGCGAGGAGAACCCCAGGTAGGTGGCAATGCAGGGAGCACCACCGGAGGGATGTGGCAGAAGAAGCAGTCAAGATCATGGACACAGTAACGTGAAAGGAATCTAAGCCTTTATCTTGAGGTTTAGGGTTAGAGTATAGTGTTCTAGATAACACAATAACACAATCACATTACAAATTACTCAAATTATTCATTGCTGTTGGTTCTAAATGTTTAGCGGGAATCCCCACCCAACCTCTGTACCCCGCCCCCCAAAAAATGTAGGATAAGAAAGTATGAATGTTGGCTGGGCGCAGTGGCTCACGCCTGTAATTCCAGCACTTTGGGAGGCCGAGGCAGGTGGATCACTTGAGGTCAGGAGTTGGAGACCAGCCTGGCCAACATGGCAAAACCCCATCTCTTCTAAAAATACAAAAATTAGCTAGGTACAGTGGTATCAAATTCTGTAAGTGGTTATAAACATGTGATGGTCTAATAATAATAATTCCAATTGAAATAGCCTGGAACAAGATACTACTGGTGAACAATATAATGTTCAGCTATTTGGGAGGCTAAGGCAGGAGAATTGCTTGAACCTGGGAGGTGGAGGTTGCAGTGAGCCAAGATTGTGTCACTGCACTCCAGCCTGGGCAACAAACAGAGTGACACTCTGTCTCCAAAAAAGAAAAAAAAAAAAGTAAGCATGAATGTCTATGTCTATGCGTCTCACATAAAGCAGCTGTTAACTACACAGAGCAAGGTACTAAATCAATACATATGTACATACTTACATAGATATTTACATGCATACATGCATGCTTGGTAAAATTTTCTTTTGCAAAGCTTACTAGGTCAGCCCCACGTGACTTGTATCAAGAGACCAGGAGTCTAGTTCCAGCAATACCATCACCAGTACGGAGCTGTTTGCGCCTGGGCTGCTTGCCCAAGCTGCTGGAGCCACACCTAGGAAACATGGAAAATCTACCCCCTGCCTAAAGCTTCCATTCCAGAACTTACTACCCCAAAGTAAAGTATTTGTTCAGGTTGTCTATCTTTTAGGCTAGACTTTAAGGGCAACAGCCATATTTTATTCATTTTTATATCTCTAATATCTAACGCAATATTTGTTCCAACAACAACAACAAACATATTTTGAATCAATGCTCTCCAGGTTCCTTTCAGCTATAAGATCAATGACTCTAGGATTTTAAGAGTCAACTTCAAAAGAGCCAGCCAACTTGGGAGTGGAACTAAAATGTAAATGACATCATCAACCCCTTTAACTTCCTTTTGACAATTTCTATTTCTCTAAACACATGACTGGATGAATGCTATTTTCAAAACACTAACATTTGCAGAATTACCACTAAGCACTTTATAAATGCAGTATATATAAATTTTACACTTTTTTTTTTTCCAAATCACTGGCAATATTGACACTGACAAACACTCTCAGACCAAAGCCCCCTTACATGACAGCAGCATTTTGGTTTGAAACAATCAGAATCAATCTGATTACCTAGATGCCTTCCTTCTCACACTAAAGCGATGTGACAACTCAACATGCTGGCCTCAGGGACTTATGTACTCTAAACATCTGTTTAGCAAGAAAGCCACAATTGGTTTTCTTTTTTTCAATTACTCATGCAAGTCAAAAGGCTATGGGGAATAAAATATTTGAGTATTTGTTAGACAATAAGAAGTAATCTTTAATGAGTGCAAACTACATGCCGAGTGCTACTCTAAACGTTCTTCCCCAAAATGATGCACACTATTCTTCACATTTTACAGTTACTGTATTACTATTAGAAAGGATTCTACTGACTCCCCTCCCATTGTCCAAATAATTATTAAATTTTATATTCATCATTCTAATCTATTTAGAAAGAGTTATAATATCAAATATTCAAGAAAGAAGCCTCTTAACCAATCCTGAGCATATCAGAAGAGCCTACTAACTAGAATACCCCAGAACATCAAAGTTAGGAGATACCAACTGATGGTGAAGCTTTAGAATGAGTTACTTCATGAGACTATAACACAGTCATCATCTCTGAGAGTCTTTGATAAACAGAAAACAGAACAATGGAGGTAACCTCTTCAAGTTCCTCTTATTTCTGAGATTGCGGAATCTGCAGATTAATATCAAGATCATCTCTAGACCATATACCATATACTCACATGCAAAACTACCAAAAAAGGGGTAAGGAGGAAAATATGCATTTTTTCTAAGTATCTAGATTACTGACTGCCAACCATTTCAAGCATGAGGTCTTCTTTCCAACAAACAATGCTATAGTCCTCCAGGTGACAGTAGTTATATTTTTACTATCTGTTGATTTAGCAAACATATCAATAATAAAAATACAGGCAATACTTTTAAATGCACCTGTTATTTCATCAGTCACAATAGCATCTATATTCATTAATTTAAAATACAGTTGTACTCAAGTATATAAAAAGACTAAAATATCATCACCAAGTTAGAGCTCCAGAATATAAGGATAGCTTTGTCATCAGAAAAATCTATGCTTACAATTCATTATACAGACATGTTAAACCAAAACACTGATAAAAATTCCATACCCAGACTAGGCAACATGGTGAAACACCATCTCTACCAAAAAAGATTTAAAAAATTAGTCAGGTGTGGTGCTGCACACCTGTAGTCCCAGCTACTTGGGAGGCTAAGATGGGAGGATCACTTGAGCTCAGGAGGCAGAAACTGCAGTGAGCCAAGATCATGCCACTGCACTCCAGCCTGGGTAACAAAGCAAGATTCTGTTTGAAAAAAAAAAACAAAAACAAAAAACCATACCATTATTTGCAAAATACTCAAAAAGTTATGATTAAAATAATTTCCAAAACTATGTAAACAATGTCTGAGAAGCTAACTTGTATTTAACTGTGAACTACCAGAAGCATTGCCATTAAAGTCGCGTTTTTACCAATGATAGTATTTGATACTTCACTAGAGTCCTGGACAATGTAATAAAATTACAAAAAATTTAAAAGATGCATAAAAATTGTAAAGAAACAAAATCATTTTATTTGCAGCTGATATGATAATCTAATTAGACAAATCCCCCCAAAATCAACTGAATCGATAAGAATAAGAATTCAGTAAAGTGGCATATTCAAATTCAACTTACAAAAATTGATAACTTTAATACACTTTCAAATGTACAACAAATAAATGAACAAAAAAGTACATATACAGAGATAAGGCAAATGTGGCAAGACATTAACTGCTATGAATTCGACTGAAGGAAACACAGATTATTATTATTAATATTAATCTTTCCACTTTTCCTTAAGAACATCATACTACCTCGAGTCTAAGGCTCTATACAACATAGTAAGTACATTCAAGACACTTCCTTCATCTTCAAACCTCACATTGCCCAGTAACACACTAGTAATTTATTGATCCTATTTCACCTCCAAATAAATCCCAAAGACATTTAAACTTATTTTCTGCTCCAGACTCTTCACTTCCGCTTCTTCATTAATCTTTTTTTTTAACCTTAGTTTCTCTATTCCAGCCTTTTACCAGATCAAGGATAAAACTAGGGCCCCTAGAACAAGTGCCTAGAGCCATTTAATCCAATATATGACTTCTGCTACCTAAGGTGCTGAGCAAGCGCATATAAAATAAAAGGAGCAAATAACAGCTCATCTTTTGCACGAATATTACATATAGTACAGTTCCCCAAAATGATGCACACTAGCCTTCCATATCTCCCTGTGCTCACTTTATAACAGCACTAGCTTAATAGAACACTTGTCTTGGGCTTTATGGACCAAGCACGTTTATCTCCATCATCTTGCTGATTTTGTTTAACTTGCTTTGTGAGCAGGGAAAGGCTCTTTTAATCATAGTGATGAAATCTCATGATTCCAATCCAGGATGCTGGCAGAAATAACTCAATTTGTATCCTGAAATTTGCTAGCTTAGAAAAAAATTCCAGCTCAGAAATCAAATATCCAACCAAAAGGATTAAAGATTTCTTCTCCTGTAAACTGGATATTGGTGAGAGAAAAACATATAAATACCATGTCCATATTGTATCCTCCGGTTTGTGCCAACTGGTCAGATGAGGCATTGTGGTTTTCTATTTTAAATAGAAACAAAAAAAGATAACAAAATAATGACTTTTTATTTTTTTTTTGAGACGGAGTCTCACTCTGTTGCCAGGCTGGAGTGCAGTGGCGGATCTCAGCTCACTGCAACCTCTGACTTCCTAGTTCAAGGGGTTCTCCTGCCTCAGCCTCCCGAGTAGCTGGGATTACAGGCACGTGCCACCATGCCCAGCTAATTTTTGCATTTTTAGTAGAGACGGAGTTTCACCGTGTTGGCCAGGATGGTCTCGATCTCCTGACCTCGTGATTCGTCCGCCTTGGCCTCCCAAAGTGATGGGATTACAGGCGTGAGCCACTGAAAATCATGATTTTAACTGAAGAATTTTCTTTCCTGTTTAGATTCCTCAAGTATACATTCTAAAAACATACTATAACTTTAGGTTCGTAATGTTTATTGCAAGTATAATTCTATAATAATGTATTAATTACTTAGTATTATACTTTCCCACTAGGCAGTAAACTCTACAAGAGCAGGAACTTGCCCATCTTGTTCTGCACAGAAGTCTGACTACCTAGCGAGAAGACAATCTACATCTCACGAGAAACTGAATGAAAGTAGATCAAACTGAAGCTAACAAAGGTAACTTTCTAAAATGGGTATTTAACATGTAGATAATTTTTTCCTTAGAAGTATTTCAGGATAAACATACAAATGAATATCACAACCCTGAATTAGGTTCTTCTCAAATGCTCAGATTTTTTAATGAGCAAGAAGCACAACATCAAATAATATGCTATGTCATGAAATCATGTATGTTAATCAGAAAAGTGAAAAAAGAGGTTCCACGATAACCAAATAAAATGGAAACAAACTAATAACAGCAAAAAAAGTTCATTATGGTGAAGTCATGTGATACAATATTATGCAGTCATTTGAAACTGATGTTTATAGGGAATTTTAATGACACCGAAAAATACTAGTAATAGATAATATTAAGGGGAGCATCCCAAAAGATATACTGTATGATGCCAACTGTGCTTTAAAATTCATGTGTAGTTATATATTCATATGTATATGTGTGTAAATGTGCATGTATATATAGTCTAGATACATATGTAGGTATATGCATATATATCCATATGTATACATATAAATGAAAGATATCAAATTGTTAATAGTAGTTATTTCTGGATGGTACAGTTATGAGTGACTATAACTTCTGTATGTGGATCTTCCAAATTTTCTGAAACAAACATATAGTGTATGTTTTCTTGTAAATATACCTATAGACTATATACTGTTTTTCATACCATAGTTTCCACAGCATAAACCTTGGTATCAATCCAATTATTTGCAGAGTCATCAGGCAAATGAGTGAATCAAATGTAATAATCCCAAATATCTTGAGTTGGCATCACAATTGACAGATTAAAGTAAATAAACACAGAGTGGGCATGTTTTATATGTTGCTGAGAGTTATGGGCAATGCGAGCCTGAAAGCTATTAGCTTTCAAATATGACAGACTATTTGAAATGGAGAAGGGAAAGATAACCTACGTTTCTGATACTAACAAGTTGTAGCTCACATTTCCACATGGAGAAGGATCAAATGTACGTTCCCTTTCTGTTATCCTATTTGTCATATTCTTTATTGAAAAAAATAATGACCTTAAGTAAAAGATACGTTATGTACCAAGATGTTCATCCTATTTATTCTGGAAAAGGGCTGAAAGCCACCATATAACAGAGCTTGGCAGATTTATCTCTAGGGTTCTCTTGTCAATTTCTGTTTTGTGGGGGAAGGGGTTTGCTATGATTGAGAAAGGAAAATTAATGTTTTCTTTTCTCTCCAAATATATCCTAGCTTAAGCAGTACACAGCCCCCAACAGAGCATCCCCCTATCCCACCTCCACTTTGGTTTCAGTCAAGACATGGAATCAATTCTGCCCTTACCTAGGGCTATGGACTCAGAACTCCCCCACACCATCTCCACAGGGCCTCAGAATATTTCTATTAGTCTTTTGCCCCTTAAGACTCACAGGTACCTATTTATGTTTTTTTTGTCATATCCTAAAATTTTAGTTAATTTATAATTAATGGTGTTTTCTTATAATAATTTTCCATGGCTTATAATACATTTCTATACTGCTTCTCTTATTTGTATCCTTGGTAAACTTTATCTTCTAACTTGACTAGAAAAAAATCCCACTCTTCTTTTAAACAAACCACAAATTGACAGTCAGGACATCTCAATGTTTAAAGAACAGCAAATAAAATTTGGCTATATATGCCACAAAATATCCCTACACACACACAGACACACACACACACATGAACAGCATATTGGGAAATATTTATAATAATTTTATACCTTGTCTACTGCAAATCTTTATAATGAACACCATATACTATGGACATGTGTTATATTTTCCCCAAAACAGATGTAAATTAAAGCAGCTGCTCAGAAAGTCTTCCGATCTTGAAGAAAATTATAGCTGTGAAGTGTAAAGGCAAATACTCCAATTACAGGAACTACACAGCTTTGCAATAATGACAATCAAATTATTTTAAAAACTGTGATGAGAATCCCCGCCCAACCCCAAGAAATTACTTTCTGAGCATTTGCTACAAGTCTCCAAAAGATAGCATTTCCTAACCATTTTAGCCTGCATTTTTAAAGCACAGGAATGATTGTTTTATCAATTAAAATTTCTAGTTTACAGATGGTTACCTAGTCTTAATCTGGTGAAATTAGAACCTCAGACTTCATTTTAAGACAAGAAAAGAAAGTAAATTGTGGTAACAAGGTACACTGGGAACAGTAAGAATTTGTTTTCAGACAAAACTGAGGCTCAATTCCTAGTTTGGCCATTTACTAGGTACATGATACAAGGCAAGAGACTCCAACTCTCCAAGTCTCAGCCTCTTTCATAACAAAAAATTAAATAGTGCTATCTGCCTCATAAGATAGTTTTAATTCCTGAAAGAGATGACTGATGGAACACACCAGACACAGAGTAGATACTCAATGTATGTTAGCTCTTGTACCCTTCTTCACAAATACTACAAAATTTTCCAAACTGACCAAATAACTTTACACACATAAGGTTCGGACACTATTGTAACAGTTTCATGTACTATTGGAGGTATATTTAGAACATTAATTTTTTAAATGATGTTTAAGAAAGTTAAAATGTATTAATAAAAACCCTCAGATATTCCATCATGCTCTACAAAGCTATCTCTAGGTGGCCCTCTAAGTGGCTTACTTTGGGTGGTTCCAGTAAGATGCATTTCATTATTTAGATGTCTCCTTGTTGAGTAAATATAAGGTGAAGTAAAAGAATCAATACATTCATCATCTGCCTGTATACATATGCCGTGGTCTTGATTCCGTAAGAAGACATGTCTTTATTCATCTAAAGCCATGTACAAATGGAAGTAGAATTTCCAAAGACTGCTTTTAAAATTAAAGGCATGTTTCACAAGTTAGCAAAAGCCGTGCAGCCTCTTAGATCTCTGTATTGGCTAACCACACACCACGACATGCTATCCTCAGTTGGAAAGTCCCCCCACACAGTATGTAAACTCATTTTGAAACTGGAGAGAACAGTTCCTCCTATAACTCATCTGGGCAAGTTTATATAAAAGAATAATTTTTCAGAAAGCCACAGAGGTTCTCTCCCAAGATTGCTGAAGTATAATTATGGACAAGTGTAAATATGGAAAGAGAAGCTGACTAAAAGTAAAAAGCACAGTGAATAAGCGTTTATAAAGATTTATATAAAAAGAAACAAAAACAAATAAAAACTTCAGCCCACCTAATAAAGTAATTTTAGTAATACCCATTCATGTACCACCCTCCCCACCACCTCCCTTCCCGAGAAACAAAAAAAATGGTTAGACTGCATGTTAACATGTAAAGATACCTGTATCTATTTATATTTTATCTATATATTATATTTAATTAGGGTGAAATAATAAAATGCACTAATTATATAGTATTTACATACATACACTATGTATACACACACATAGTAAAGGCAAAAATGGAAAGATAAAACATAATATTCTTAAATGGTTACTTACTGGAGGGGAGAAGGCAGAGATAGAAGATGGACTTTTTTGACAGTATCTTGTTTTCTAGATGCTACTTTGGAGTCATGTAAATATTTTCTGTGATTGTAAAACAAAAATTTTAAATAAAAACTCCTAAAAATCAAAAATAAAATGTGACAAATGAACCCTGCATTTATAAGGTGGTAGCATAACCACACAGAGAAGAATGACTGACAGTGAAATACATTAATCCTATATCCGTAGTGGGACATAAACTAATGACAAAAGAAAAATGGTGGTATTGGTGCTGGCATTAGTAGTCTGAACTGCTGTGTATATCAAAGCAAGTAAGTAATTCTGCCATTCCAGGAGTACAAGCATTCTCGCTGTGAGAGAAAGGAGACAGAAGTATAAGATCCAAGAGGTGAAGTAAAAACCCTGTCGTCCTGATATTTATTTTAATATACATATATATATATATATATATATATATATATGCACTTGTGTATCTGCTACACACATGCACTCAGCGTCCACTGAACAGGCCTGGAAGCAACGGCCAACCCAGTAGCAATGAGCATGCCTAGCGCCTGGCCTGTGGTTCCCCGATACCATTTCCCACCACTTCTACCTTCATCAATAGAACATTTCAATAGGTGGAGATTAAGACCCCCCAAAAGTAGGAGCAAAGACTTGGAAGCAGGAAAGGCCTACTTAGGATGAGCAAATGGCCCACCAGGCCAAGGGCTAGAAAGCAAGGGCATCTACAGTGAGACTGTCTGGAGGGGCCTGACAGGGCCCGACTGCGAGAGCTAATCTTGAAAGCAAAGAAAGATGTTTATGATTCTTGAGGAGAGGATGGGAGTCGCCCAGCTGGACCCATGGTGTTTAATTTTTTTATTTTTTTTTTTTTGAGACGGAGTCTCTCTCTGTCGCCCAGGCTGGAGTGTAGTGGCGTGATCTCGGCTCACTGCAAGCTCCGCCTCCCGGGTTCACGCCATTCTCCTGCCTCAGCCTCCCGAGTAACTGGGACTACAGGTGCCTGCCACTACGCCCGGCTAGTGTTTTTGAATTTTTAGTAGAGACAGGGTTTCACCGTGTTAGCCAGGATGGTCTCGATCTCCTGACCTCATGATCCGCCCGTCTTGGCCTTCCAAAGTGCTGGGATTACAGGCGTGAGCCAGCGCACCCGGCCGATGGTGTTTAATTTTTACAGTGCCCATGTGTGGCAGGCATGAACTCTCGTTATTCACAGATGAGGATGCTAAGGCTTATCTGGCAAGTAGAGAGCATGTGGAACAGTCCCAATTCTAAACCCAATCGCGGTTTACTAATACAGGCTTGTTTCCACTGGGCTGGCGGAGTAGGTGCCTGGCATTTAGGGCAGTTAATGGTGTCAGTGTAAGAACAAGTTAGAGAGTCATGGACAAAGCTGATCAGATAGGAGGCTTTGTCTTTCTTAGGAGCAACAGGGGCAGACTCTGAGCACCTCCGGATATATATGCTCCAGAGAGCCCATATCATCGCCAGCAACACCCCAGAAAGTGACATTCATTTGGTGAATACCTTGTAATTTTTCATCTTCATTTTAATGTTACAAACCAGTTCATCAAATTCTAACAGTTACATCAAAAAGGAAGAAAAATTTCACAACAAAAATATTCCCTCATTACATAATAAAAATTGTTGAAATCCCAAATAGAGCATACGAGAAAAAGGAAGTTTAATAAAAACTACTCAAGTGTGCCATGAAAGTATAAGCTTATTAGTGGAAATCCACAAATTTGTTTTTAAATAAGTTTGAGTCATCTGTAAATCATCCCTCCATCTTTCTTTCTACATATAAATAGCATTTATTATCTGAGCAAGCAGACAGAAAAATACCTTCTTTGATTATTTGTGTTGATTTGTGAACAGAGAACTGGACAAAATCTAAATATCTAAGAGCCCTCCTTTAACTTTAATATCGTATAGTCATTTAAAGAGACACATCCGATCAGGCAGAGCAACTGGCATGATGGTCACCTCCTCGCGCAAGGTCTCACACACTCTGCCGAACACAGAAAGCCAGTGCTGTCACGCCACAAGCTCCCTGAGGGGTTAAAACACCACTCAGATCCCCTTTCTCCAGGTGCTGACCCACTCAGTAGCCAAATCTTAGAGAGAGGAAGAGAGAGGGTCAGAACCCTGCAGAGGAAGGCTGCTCACGAGGGGGCCTGCCAACACTACCTGCACCTTAAAAACAGGTGAATCCTGACATAAGAAATGTCATTAATCTCAAGCCTCTGTGTACCAAAAAGATTTCAACATATTAGCACCTGTTTCAAGGGTGTTCCTGTTATTTGGTAACCCACACCCCATAATAAATGTTCTGGTTATAAAGGCTTGGGAGAATCACCCCATACTCTTCCCCCTGCCCACACCCACCTTTTGCTGTATTCTCACCTCTTTTATTTTCCTTTGGGTAAGCCAGAGTTGGCTAGACTTTGGAATCTAAAATCTCATCATAATGCCCAATGAGTAACTATCTCCACATTTTCTTTTACTAACATCATATTAAAATGCATTAAGCAGCCAGTGTGCCCAGTAGATACCACATAAACACTCTGAGGCTTGATTTTGGTTTGAATTGTGCAGACTAGGAGAGAGAAAATAATACAAAACTGTCCCCAAGCAGAAAGAACAGCTTCACCATTTTGCTCAAAAGTGAGCCAGTAACTGGAAAGAAAGGGTCACAAAACAAGCCTGTATCTCAGTTTCACAAAGATTGAATAATTTTGATGTGAGTAATACTAAAAAGGAGACAATCTCGTTTTAGCCTCTATGGTTCTTTAAACTGGAAAGGTATTTTTAAAAACAAGCATTCTGTATTCGCCCTTAAATGTTGAATTTTCAATTAGAGAGTGTATCCAGGTACCATGAACAACAGATTGTGCATGTTTTTAAATACTCTGTGACTCACAAGTAGAATCTTGATTACTAAAAAATAAATTTTAAAAAAGGTAAGATTTTGGGGTGGGATGATGGGCATATTGGTTGGAAGGCCAAGAATTGCTGGAGAGAGGTAGAGTATTGGAAATGTATGCCATCTCTTCTCAATTCTAAATTATCATTTAATGTCTAGGTGACAAAGTTCAGAAAAATATGACCCTAATTTTTTATTCAAGCAAATGTTCTTTCCCTTATCTAAAGGAGCAAGAAGGTGTCCACTCTCCAGCCTTGACATACCCTGCTGCCGCGGACGGCGCACAAGTGCCTTCCCAAGGCCTTACGCTTCACCATGGCCCACCTACTCTTATCACTGGGCCCAATGGCAGCTAAAATTTATGACTTTTGAAGCTGGGACAAAGAACTGGCTGAAATGGAGATGCCCGCTTAACAGAAATCTTGTAAGAAGCTGAAAAGCCCATGGTCATGAAAGCTAGTGAAAAACAGAAGAGTCCAGATGCATCCTACCTGCAAAATGGAACAGCAACAGTTGAGCCTACAGCTCACTTACAAATTCAGAGGGCCTCTAGGCACGTGCCAGAACCACGCAAACTGCTCAGTACTCAGATGTGAAAAGCAAGGAGGGTACTGCTCTGAAAAGACAAGTGCAATGAACCCAAAACAAAGGTCTGAAATTCTTTCCTGACCAGCTTATCGAGGAAACTAAGAGGGTTCCATGACTGCAAGCGATCTCTCATGATGGAAATACCACTGAATTAAAAAGCTACCTACCGGGTGCATCCACAGGAAAAAGGTGCCCTTAGAAGTGCCTAAGAAACGTAAGGGTGAAAACCGAAGGAAACATCCACACCCTCAGCCAATCCCACTCCAAAAGCAGAGTGAGGGAAAGGCCAAACTCTTAACAGCAATCAGCAGTGTGACAGGACGGAAAGAAGATGTGTTTGTGGCAGAACACCTGCTTCTGAGTAGCACCTCTGCTCCAGTGGCTGTGAGACCCGCGATGTGACCTAGGCTGCCCAGGGCTACCATGAACCTGTCTCCCCTCCCAGCACCGTGGGGACCACGAGGTAGCAGCACATGCAGGCAAATCAGCTTCCTCCCTTCGCCCAGTTATGCCTTCCGAAAACACCATTTCACCCACTGGCCAACCGTCCAACTTCCTGATTCCTCTGTGAAGACACTGACAAAATGTCTCCAGTCGTTTAAAACTGCATGGTCTTTTAATGCTCATGTACATCACTGTACAAGGGCTACACTTGACACTAGCATGGTCCCAAAACGTTACAAGACTTACACATATTTGTAGGCATTTAGAATTATGTCACTTATTTAATGTACAAATTACTGCTAAAAGTATTGGAATAGTATTTTATGCCTTTAACAATGTGGTCAGCTGGGCGCGGTGGCTCACACCTGTAATCCCAGCACTTTGGGAGGCTGAGGCTGGTAGATCACAAGGTCAGGAGTTCCAGACCAGCCTGGCCAACATGGTGAAACCCCGTCTCTACTAAAAATACAAAAATTAGCCAGGCGTGGTGGTGGACACCTGTAATCCCAGTTACTCGGGAGGCTGAGGCAGGGGAATTGCTTGAACCCAGGAGGCGAAGATTGCAGTGAGCCAAGGTCACGCCACTGCACTCCAGCCTGTGCTACAGAGCGAGACTCCATCTCAAACACACACACACACACACACACACACACACAGTGTAGTGGCAGTAAGAAGAAGTGTAAAGCTTTGGATGAGGCCACCCAGAATTCTTTTTTTTAATTTTGAGACAGAGTCTCGCTCTGTCACCAGGCTGAAGTGCAGTGGCACGATCTCAGCTCACTGCAACCTCCACCTCCTGGGTTCAAGTGATTCTCCTGCCTCAGCCTTCCGAGTAGCTGGGACTACAGGCACGCGCCACCATGCCTGGCTAATTTTTGTATTTTTGGTAAAGACAGGGTTTTACCATGTTGGCCAGGATTGTCTCGATCTCTTGACCTCGTGATCCACCCACCTCAGCCTCCCAAAGTGATGAGATTACAGGCGTGAGCCACCGCACCTGGCCAGCAACCCAGGATTCTAACTCCAGTGTCTGCTCTGACATTCACTTTCTAGGGGGGCTGCAGCTTCTCATTTCTATAGGCCTTAGCTTTCCTCTTTCTGAACTGGGGACAATGAACATAGCAGTGTGCCACAAGACTTTTTTTGCAGGGTTAAATGTGGTAATGAGAGTTGAACAGGTCCAGAAATGCAGTAAGAACTCAATAAATGTTGGCCATTATCCCTAATAACACAGACAAAATATTACCATATGGTTAATTTTTAGACTGCTACTCAAGTTTAGAATATCAAAGTGTTTGTAAACACATAAAATTATTTTTTGAACATAAAGTCTATAAAATCTACAAAGGTAATTCAGATACTTAAAACAATCAAGGTGTAATTTTTCTCATTAGTTTTTATATTGCTAAAATTATTTAAAAATTTCTCCCAGTGAATTGTGGGTGATTTAAATTACATGAATCTCATCTCTTCACTTGACATTTCAAAGAAGATACTTAACATTCTTTTCAGACTCACATTCATTCACAAAAAAATTTCAAGTATTAGAAATATAAACAGGTGGATTTCAAATGGGTAGAATTTTAAAGATAATTATAAAGCATAAAGACAATTATTGGCTTCCAAATATTTGGGACTATTCGTTATTATCAAATTTTTATTAGGCACGTATTCACCACTGCAGATGTGATGGAGAACATTTTAACAGGCATACATTGTTAAAATTATAAGGCAATTTTAATTGTCATTTAATAAATGAGGTTTGAGCTTTGTCACCAGAGGCATTTATGTGCTAAAATCACCATGCTAACATATCTTCCATGGCACCAGTGGGTTACAATCAATCACCTCTAACAAACATTCCCTAACATAGCAGGGTACACTTCATTACCAAGCATTAACTCAACATGCATTTACTGAAGAAATTAATGGGCTATCTCAAGGCTGTGCTCACTGCACAATCCCAGGAGACACCATTCACAATGTATTCTAAAGCTGGCAGCACAGTGGTCCTGGGCCTCCTTTCTACCCTAACAGCACCTTTAAAAATGTGCCCAACTCATGAGATGTTAAAGGAAATATACAAACAAATACATCTGCCCTGGCATGTTAACATAAACCCCACCATGCTCCACCCTCCTTTCAGGTGAATCTAACGTATCAGAAGCCAATAGCTGGTGTGAAATAAAGCTGCCCTGCCTCTCCATCCAGTGAGCAATACAGGGCACCCTCCCAGGACCCAGGTGATGAGCTGCTTCTCTGAGATGAACGGTGGATGTATTTGGATCCACACACACATTCACCCAAGCCAACTTCTGATCAAGCATATGAATAAAAATGCCCAGTAGATGGCGAGGGTTAGGAACAGAGCTGACTGTGCTAGAAGAAAGCCAAGATCCACACAATGTTTCATCACCCTGGTGATCTCATTAGTCTAGTGTTCTAAACAACTCATCTAAATAGCCACAGAAGCCCTAGAACCAGAAAATAAACATGAACCTTCTTAAAAAGCAAATTTGACTTAGCTCTATTGATGGGTTACAGGCAAGCATCACAGCGGAGGCTCCAAAATGTCTACACAGGAGGGATGTGGGTCCAGTCAGCTTGGAGAAGGAAGGAGGAACTGGCTGAGGCACTTCACTGCAAACACACATGCACAGCAAGCCCTCAGCTGTACACAGGTGCGCTGGCTTTGAGGGGGGCACAGTGAGCCCTCAGCTGTACACAGGTGCACTGGCTTTGAGTGGGGGACAGCAAGTCCTCAGCTGTACACAGGTGTGCTGGCTTTGAATGGGGGACAGAAAGCCCTCAGCTGCACACAGGTGCACTGGCTTTTAGTGGAGGACAGCAAGCCCTCAGCTGTAAACAGGTGCGCTGGCTTTGAGGGGGGCACAGTGAGCCCTCAGCTGTACACAGGTGCACTGGCTTTGAGGGGGGCACAGTGAGCCCTCAGCTGTACACAGGTGCACTGGCTTTGAGTGGGGGACAGCAAGCCCTCAGCTGTACACAGGTGCGCTGGCTTTGACTGCTTTGAGGGGCGTTAACAGGGCGATAGGATGGTGAGGGGTGGGGAAAGGAAAGCTTCCCAAGGTACCCTTTGGTGCCAACAAAAAAAACTGCTGTTTTAAAATTCAACTGAAAATATTATTGTTTAGAAATTAGAATATATTTTCCCCCTTAGGAAAAATTATACATTTGGTTGCTATCTTGACCAGTCCATAAAAGTCCATAAATTGATCCCTAAAATAGTAAAACATTAACACAGAACCCAATAATTGATTAAAACAGCGTTCTATGGGGGTGGTGGAGATTCACTTAGAATTCTTATTCAGGAGCCCAGAAACCCATTTGCGCCGTGCCATTCACGGCTTTAAGATAGTGGTCTCCACACGGGCAGGCTCACCCCATAGAAAGCATCATTTACACATGCAGGGCCTTGAAAAACATAAACATTCCCAATGTATATTTAAAAAGAGAGCCCAGAATAACCACACATTCACACGCTCCCCATCTTCAACAATTCTCCATATACTCCTCCACACCCGAGATCCACCCCTCAGATTACTCTGAAGCAAAACTCTGTGGAAACTTTTATCATAATGACTGGAGTGCCACTGGCATCAGAGGACAGAGACACTAAAATTGCTAGAAATCCCACAAAACCCAGACAGTCTCTAGACATAAATTACAGAAGTGCCACGAACAACACAGCAAGGGGACGCTGATCAGCGTCGGTTCAACGAGAACTTCTGCACTTGATGCTGAAGCCACCAGTGCCACCGAGCTAAGAACAAATCCAGGAAAATCATGAACCTTCTTAAAAAACAAATTACACGGCTGGGCACGGTGCCTCACGCCTGTAATCCCAGCACTTTGGGAGGCTGAGGCAGGTGGATCACCTGAGGTCAGGAGTTTGAGACCAGCCTGACCAACATGGTAAAACCCCGGCTCTACCAAAAATACAAAAATTAGCTGGCTGTGGTGGCAGGAGCCTGTCCTGTAATCCCAGCTATTTGGGAGGCTGAGGCAGGAGAATCACTTGAACCTGGGAGGTGGAGGTTGCAGTGAACTGAGATCATGCCATTGCACTCCAGCCTGGGTGACAGAGTAAGACTCTGTCTCCAAAAAAAAAAAAAAAAAAAAAAATTTTCACTTAGAAAGTGGGAATAGGAGAAATGCCATTACATGAGCACTCATGCGCATATAAATATCACATAAAATGCCTGCCTGGATCAACTCATTTTGTAAGTAAAGAGAGTAGGTAAAAACAGAGACTTGAGAATCAAAAGTTAGGGTATTTCAAGTAAACATTAAGAAATGTTTAAAATAAAAAAGTACAGTGAAGGCAAACTTACCCTTTTGGAATTTAGAACTAAAAACCACTGTTGTCAAAAGAGTATAGCACAGGAACAAATAAATTAGTGGATCAGGCCAGGAGTCAAAGTATATATCAGAAGTTACTACATGGCAATTCTGCGAGAAAAGATTCTTCATTTAGTAAACAACACTGAGAAATCGGCTTTATTTGTAGGGGGAAAAATGGACTCCATAACCTCATGACATACACAAAAATAAGTACAAATGGATTAAAGATCTAAGTGCAAGAAATACCAATTACGCTGAATTCAAAACATCAATTATAACAGAAACCATTATTTTATGTATCACTGAAAGAAAAAGTACTATTAGCTAAGTTATGATACACTATTATAAGAAATAACTTCAGATATATGAAAGTTTTTTAAAAAACTACATATTTTGGAATCAATAAAATATTTGATAAACTAAACCTATTTCTATTAGAAATATTAGAAGAAACTTTAGAAGGGCTATTTGTATAATTGCAGGTTAGAATAGAAAACATGTTGACGGATTCAACTACAAAAAAGTTTTAAAATTCTGTATAATAAAGGCACCACTAATAGAACTAAAATATAGATTGAGAGAATCACTGTAAATAATATATATTATAAAAATAAAAGCATAAGATAGGGTATGGGGGCACACACCTATAATCTCAGTAGTCTGGGAGACCTGAGGCTGCAGTGAGCTGTGATCGGGCCACTGCACTCCAGCCTGGGCAACAGAGGGAGACTCTGTCTCAAAAAAAAAAAAAAAAGCGGCCGGGTGCGGTGGCTCACGCCTGTAATCCCAGCACTTTGGGAGGCCGAGGCGGGTGGATCATGAGGTCAGGAGATGGAGACCATCCTGGCTAACAAGGTGAAACCCCGTCTCTACTGAAAATACAAAAAAAATTAGCCAGGCGCGGTGGCGGGCGCCTGTAGTCCCAGCTACTCGGGAGGCTGAGGCAGGAGAATGGCGTGAACCCGGGAAGCGGAGCTTGCAGTGAGCCGAGATTGCGCCACTGCAGTCCGCAGTCCCGCCTTGGCGACAGAGCGAGACTCCGTCTCAAAAAAAAAAAAAAAAAAGCGTACGAATATTAACAAATACAATCTATGTACAAAGGATGTAAGGATGTTTACTGCAGTCGTTTGTAATGGCAAAAATAAAAGCAAAACTGAAAAGAAATAAAAAACAAAACTGGCCAGGCACGGTGACTCACACCTATAACCCCAGCACTTTGGGAGGCCAAGGCGGGCGGATCACAAGGTCAGGAGATCAAGACCATCCTAGCTAACACGGTGAAAACCCGTTTCTACTAAAAATACAAAAAATTAGCCAGGCATGGTGGCATGGAACTTTAATTCCAGCTACTTGGCTGAGGCAGAAGAATTGCTTGAACCTGGGAGGCGGAGGTTGCAGTGAGCCAAGATCAAGCAACTGAACTCCAGCCTGGGCGAGAGAGCGAGACTCTGTCTCAACAAAACAAACAAACAAACAATTAATTTGTTCTATCAAAGAAATAACTAAATTAGGTAAATTCTTACTAGAGATGATGTAACAAATTAACAAATTAAAATCTGCATGTAATGACCTGAAGGACATGAAGGATGTCTACACCAAATTCTTAAGTTGGGGGGAAGGAAAAAAAAAAAAACATGTAAGCTAGAATGTAATGTATACAGTAGCCCATATTAGCAACCCACTTTCTCCGGCTTTTTTTTTTTTTTTTTTTTTTTTAGACGGAGTCTCGCTCTGTCGCCCAGGCTGGAGTGCAATGGCGGGATCTCGGCTCACTACAAGCTCCGCCTCCCGGGTTCACGCCATTCTCCTGCCTCAGCCTCCCAAGTAACTGGGACTACAGGTGCCCACCACCATGCCCGGCTAGTGTTTTTGAATTTTTAGTAGAGACAGGGTTTCACCATGTTAGCCAGGATGGTCTCGATCTCCTGACCTTGTGATCCGCCTGCCTCAGCCTCCCAAAGTGCTGGGATTACAGGCGTGAGCCACACTGCGCCCGGCTGGCTATTTATTTCTAAAAACAGAAAGATGCAGGAGAGAGAGCAAACTGTCAACAGCTCAGAGGAGAAAAAGAGACAAACAGACCGACTGATAGTTTGGATATTTGTCCCAACCCAAATCTCATGTTGTATTGTAATGCCCAATGCTGGAGGTGGGGCTGGATCATGGGGACACACCCCTCATGGCTTGGTACTGTCTTCGTGAGAGTGAGTTCTCCTGAGATCTGGTTGTTTAAAAGTGTGTGGCACGTCCCCCCCACCACTCTTCACTCCCCCACCTTGCCATGCGATGTGCCTACTCCCTCTTCACTTTCCACCATGATTGGAAGCTTCCTGAGGCCTCCCCAGAGGCAGATGCCAGTGCTATGCTTCCTGTACAGCCTGGAGAACCATAAGCCAATTAAACCTCTTTTCTTAGAAATTACTCAGTCTCAGGTACTGCTTTATAGCAATGTAAGAACGGCCTAATACACTGACCAACATGACATGAGTTTTATCTTCAAAAATTTAAATCACACAAGTTATATGCATTGAGCAAAAAGTTATCAGAATTGGGTGTTTCACAAAGAGTGTGTGAAACAATTAATATATTGAATATATTACTGTTTTTCCCAGTCATTGCAGTTTCTTTCTACAAAAAACAAAACAGTAGTACAGCCTCAAAAATCTACAGATAATTTAGATCTATAGTTACGTATTTAAAAAGATATGTAAATCTACCTGTATCTTTATTAAAGACAGAAGGAAAGCAAGAATCAGATCAACAATGCTTCACATTGTGTGACAGGACTAAACTCTTAGAGAAAATTACACAATTTTAAATTATTCTTATTTTTGAGGATTTAACCTCTATGAACATCATAAAAGATTTGCACCACCTGGTGGAAAAGCAAAGATTCGAACACAGTTAAATCTCTTTATTACAGTGTTTCTTAACTCCTGGATCAAAAGACCTTTCAGGACTTTGATAAAAGCCCAGATCCCTTCCTCTCCAAAATGCAGGCATATGCATGCACGCCCACACAGGCACACACACATACACAGATAATAAGCAGTTCCAACAACTGCTGAGCCCATCTATAGAAAACCTTCATCTGTTGTTGGGCTTACATTTCCCCTCGACCGCCCAGCATCAGAATCCTCGCCCCACAGTTGGGGACTCCACTGCTGTTGAGTCCTGCTCAGCAGGGCAGCCAGGCCAGATGCCCGCCCTGCCTGAACTCCGGCCAGGGAACCACTGCAGGTGCTCACAGGGGTCCAGTGCTCCCTGTGGAGGCAGCATCCAAGATCCAGGCTGCTCATGGGTGGTGATATCCCCTGTCCTGGCTGCATAGCTTCTTCCCCTTGTTCCTCACTGTCTTTTAAACACAGATATCCACCTGTGTTGGGGGTTATGACAGCAACCTGACACCCCTTCCAATGAGGTCGTTCCCTGAGTCAAAGAGGCTACTTCTACTCTTTGCAATCAAGAACTCTGGCTTTACGCTTCTACTTGATTATAAGCCTCTGCCAGGACCTCCCTCTAACCTCCTACACACAAACCAACGCTATGACCTTCTAACCAACTTGGCGTCAATAGAACAAATGAGGTTTAAAGAGCTACTGGAACTGAAGGTAAGGACAGAGGATGACCCCTGAAAATACACAAGAATATCACTTTCATTAGACCTAAGGCAGGGTTCCTACAACCCAACCCCAAAAAGAGGCTTGTTTACCTGCATAGCTTCCACATGGCTCTGACTGGTATTTAAGACAATTAAGTAAATTGTCCTTTACTTTAAGTCATGACGTTGGATAAACAGCATGGTTTCAACCAAATGTGACTGACAAACATTTAATGAGAGAAAACTGGTAGAGAAAAGTTAGGTGGCATGGACACAAAAGACAATGCCTGTTGATATATGCATGTCTTTAATCAACAAAATAAAAGCTTAGCTGACCAAGCATTCCAATTTGAAAAAGGTAATCCTGGTTTTTTACATAATCACAGATTTTTTTTAGCTGAAGTAGAAATATACAAATCTAAATCCTTTCAGTGTAGATAAATAGGTAACAAAGATCAAAAAGTGGTAAGTAATTTGGCTAAGGACATAGCTAGTTCATGATAAGACTAAGGACCAAAGGGGTAACAACATTCATTCTATGTGCCTGTTACTCTGCCAGGTATATTATATAAAGTGTCCATTTTAACTCTCATCACAAATCTGTGACAGATATATTATACTCATTTTATAACACAGAGAATGACAGTCAGAAGTAAAACGTCCCATCCACAGAGCTCCTAAAAGGCAGAGTAGAGATCCAAAACTCTATTTATTAATTTCTAAAGTTAATCTTACTCCCTTCCTGGCTTTAGGGTTTGGGGAATGGAGAATGATTCTTTGTTGTTGTTGTTGGTGGTGGTGGTGGTGGTTCTTTGTTGTTGTTGTTGTTGGTTCTTTGTTGTTGTTGTTGTTGTTGTCGTTGTTGAGATGGAGTCTCGCCCTGTCGCCCAGGCTGGAGTGCAGTGGCGCAATCTTGGCTCACTGCAACCTCCGCCTCCTGGCTTCAAGCAATTATCCTGCCTCAGCCTCCCAAGTAGCTGGGACTACAAGTGCATGCCACCATGCCCAGCTAATTTTTGTATTTTTAGTACAGACGGGGTTTCGGCATGTTGGCCAGGATGGTCTCAATCTCTTGACCTCGTGATCTGCCTGCCTCAGCCTCCCAAAGTGCTGGGATTACAATCGTGAGCCACCGCGCCCATCCAGAGGATGATTCTTAACTTTTTCTGTGTACCCTGTATGCCTCTGCAGTTTAGCCAAATTGATGGACCCCTTTTCAGAATGTTTTAAAATGCATAAAATACACAGGATTAAAAAAACAATTACACCAAAATATAGTTCTCAAATATTAAAAATTACAGTTGATAAATAGTAATATCTGTGCTTCTTTATGAAAGCATTAAATAAAATCTAATAAAGCCCCGAATAACTATTGTTCCTTGCCTTCAATAGAAAGGATATCAATAGATCAAAACACTAAAACATACTGAATTTGCACGGTATTAATGTCTAACAGATACATCAGGTTCCTTAATTTTTTTCTGCACAGGATGTTTAAAAATAAGAAGAAGAAAAACCACAGACTAGGTGCGGTGGCTCATGCCTGTAATCTCAGTGCTTTGGGGGGCCAACACAGGAGGTTCACTTGAGGCTGGGAGTTCAAGACCAGTCTGGGCAACAAAGTGAGGAACTCCCCTCCCCTCCGCCAAAAAAAAAAAGTAGCTAGGCACACTGGCATGTGCCTGTAGTCCAAGCTATTCGGGACGCTAAAGCAGGAAGGGGACAAGCCTTAGCTTGTCCCCAGAAGTTTGGGGTTGCAGTGAGCTACAACTACACCACTGCACTCCAGCCTGAGCAAAAGAGCAAGACCCTACAAAAAAAAAGGAAAAAACAATAAACAGAATTATCATTTAGATTTCATTCTCCCTGTTGAAGAACATTTAAAAAGAAAACAGGAAAACACTCACTGCTACTATCTATTTCATATACAAAATTCTTTTCCATAATATCCAGTGCAACCTCTCAGCCACATACAACTACATTATCCACAAATATGTTTATATTCAACATAACCTACAGTCCAGCAATAAAATGCAGAAAGGAATATGGTTTCACAGATTGGGAGTCAGAAAATCTAATTTTTGCCACCAATGCAATAAACGGTCTCAGGAAAATCATCGCTGATCAATATATGAATGACCACAGTAGCAAACACACGAAGAAACTGACACAGACAAACATCTCTTTTGATTCTACACTTATGTTTACTAAATAGCCAGGCAACCAAAAAAGGTGCTCAAAAATTATGAGAATGTGGCATGATTAACAAGACAAATAATACATACTGAACTTTGAAAGATGAAAAACCTGCAAGAAGTGAAAATGAGGCACTCCTCTTCCAACCAAAATACGATATACACCCACCCACTCCAAGACCCGGGCCTCAACACCCACTCCGTCCCCTCCATCACTGCTCCTGACTGTTAAGGTCACCCTGAGATAACTTGGTCCTTGTAAATATCCACATCCTCCAAAACTTGAACGTCACTACTTTATTTCCATGGTTGCCTCCATTCAGCCAGCCTCCACCCAAATGATCTGGCCAACTCCTATTCATTCTCCAAGACCCAGCCTCCACACCATCTTCTCTGGAGGGCTGTTTTTTGTTTGTTTGTTTTTGGTTTTGGTTTTTGAGATGAATCTTCTGTTGCCCAGGCTGGAGTGCAGTGGTGCAATCTCAGCTCACTGCAGCCTCCGCCTCCCGGGTTCAAGCACTTCTCCTGACTCAGCTTCCCAAGTAGCTGGGATTACAGGCGTGCGCCACCACGCACACCCAGCTAATTTTTGTATTATTAGTACAGATGGGGTTCCCCCATGTTAGCCAGGCTGGTCTCGAACTCCTGACCTCAGGTGATCCACCTGCTTCAGCTTCCCAAAATACTGGGATTACAGGCGTGAGCCACAGCACTCAGCCAGAAAGCTGCTCTTTCATACTGTGTTGTTAGCTGCTTATGTGTCCGCCTACAGGACCACAGAGATCACCCAAGGGGCTGTGCATCCCTGGAGCCTACAGCAGTGCTCAGAACACAGATTGATGAATTAACTGAAGAGTCACAGGGTAAATGCTCAATTGATGCCTGAAATTACTTAAAATTCTCATGTTGCTGTCACCCTAACAAAAGTATTTCCACAAAGACCATACAATTGTATATCCTATACATACGTGGATTTTTACATATAATGAACATTTTTCATGTTTCCACAGGATTTCAAAAATTATCATTTTTAATGTCTGCCAGAGCATAAGATCAATTTATTAGTCTGCACTGAAGGGCATTTAAGGCACTTCTACTGTTTTGCTATTAAAGATAACACCAAAATCAAGCTCTTTGAACAAATATCTTTTTGCTTCAGCTGAATTATTTCCTTAGGATAAATTTCAAGACATAAAACCCTTTAAAGCTCTACTATGTCATCAGCAATAAATGAGTATACTTGTTCCACACAACCTCAGCAGCCCTGGGTGCCATTTCTTTAAAATAGCAAATGCGTGGGTAAATAAAAATTGTCTCCACATTGTTTCCATTTTTTCTTATTACAGAGAACGATGTTTCCATATAATACTTTAGCATTTGTAATTCCCTTTGTCCATTTACCTATTGTACCTTTTCTTACGTATTAGAAAAGGCTACCTTTTTCATACTAGTTCTGAAATAAGCAGTTTATATTTTTCTATCTGTCATGCTTTTTGTTTCTGGACTGTAATTCTCTAAGCCCTAGAATGAAATCTCAATGTTTTTCTATATTTCCTACTTTCTATATATTGATTTTCTACATATCTACTCGAAAATGTATGTTGATTTGTGGGATGAATTTCAGTACTTTCCCCTCCAAACATCCACTCCGTTAATCCCAACATCATATTTAAAAGATCCTTCCCTGTTTATGTATCTGCTTATGTGGGTATACAAATAATTCTAAAACGATTAAATGTTAAAAAATAAGATTCACTTTAGAAGTACATTTCAGAAACAACAAATTTTGCTGATATACACACACAGGTTCAGAGTACAAGGAATACATAAAAAGCAAAATGTACTATGTGTAATTTTTCATTGAAATTAGATTTTTCTAGAAAGACCCACCTATCAATGGGTCCTGACACTCCACCACTCTGAACTATTCTTATTTCATTAAAAAAGAAGAAAAAGCATGCTTGCAGTTTTTTCCTCAAACAGTATGCATCTAAACTTGAAAAAGATAATGCATCATTTACATGACACCTGCTCTTCACTTCCAGTAAGTCCTATCTGCAGAATTCTGTCAGACAAATCAGGATACACTTAGAAAGATTAATCTGTGACTCCTGAACAGATACACTCCAAGTTTATTTTCAAGCAACTGAGGAATATACTGAACAGCTTTCTCTGTCACAGATTAAACTCATAGATCAATTTTAGCCAAGACCATGTGCATATACCCACCATATATAGATCCTGGTACATACACATACACACTTTCCGTAACCAGAAATAATAACATCCACATCCATGAGGTGTCAGTAGCTCTTCATACATCTGGTACCAAGCGCTTGATTTACACAAATGGTATTTTTCCCAATTCTAACATGCTGCCAGCCCCAAGCTTACCCGCATTATTTTTCCAACTACATTTTCGTTGAGATCCTGCACTTCCAGGCTGTTTCAGTGGCATGTCAGATCAGGATGCCACACACAGCCTGGTACAACGCCCAGGTCAAGAAACCACACTATTTGACCAGGTTACTCTCCTTACCCAAGTCTCTGACCCCAAATTCCTTTTTCCTCTCTTTCAAGTACCCACAATGAGAAGAAATCAGAAATACATGCATAGGTTTTACGAAACTGGGACTTAGAGAATTAGCTCAATGTGGGCACAGAAAGTAAAGAGAATTCTTGGGGTTGAGGGGGTAGCTTTCACATGGAATCAGAAAACACTGTTCTCCTTTCCCAGTCTCTCCTGACAGTTTTCATTGTTCCATAGCCCTTATCACTTTGCAGCTGTTACAGTTTTGGGCTTGTCTTAACTCTCCTATTGAACTGCAGCGTCAGGGTCGCTGAGGCTACAATGTATGCCAGAGTCACTCAGGTAACCTCCACAGCACTCAGCAGGCACAGTGCCTTGCAGGGCTATTTATCAAACATTTGCTAAGTGTACAAGAAAAATTATCCAATCTGCAAAGAATAAAAGGTCTAAACTTTTACTTAATAAAACTCATAGATTCGGTTGCCAAAAATATGATTTTTAAAGCCTAAGAAACAGTAATCATTTTTATAAATCTGTTACAGACCAGCCTCAAGAGACACATTTATATCAGTGTTTAACAAAAGTACAAGATTCAGACCAAAATGCATACATACATAACTTCTTGCTTGACTCTTACAAAAAAATGCAGGTGCTAAAAGACTATCTAATGTTTATAAAATCCATTATTTAACTACAGCAATTCTGCTCTATCATGTATGTTACTGGCATGGGTGGGTTATTAAGTCAGACCGCATTCCAGACAGCACACGGCTGCAGTTCAGGGTGAAGAGACTGCCTACAAAACGTCTGCTTAATCCCATCCAATCTTTAACCAGAGACTTCCTGATTTCACCTTACAACAAATGAGCCCTGAATCCTGATTTCCTGTATGTCTAAATTCTGCAATGCCTATGTTGCGAAATTTAAACCTATCCAACTAGTTTAAGAATTACTCTTGAGGAACACACTATCCACAACAAATGTACTCTTCAGGAGACAAGAAGGTTTCCAAGGAACAAGAAGTGTCTAGAGATTTGGCTTTTAAAAACTTAATATTTTTTTAAAAAGTATTCTAGAATAAGGTACTCTGTCAGTAAGTAAAATAGTAAGATAAACTATACAATTCTCAGTTCTAAAAACTCTATGAAAATATAGTATTATTAAGAGGGTTTGGACATACTGGAGTCCAGTTGTGTCCACCCCAAAACTAAAGGTGACATTAAAACCTGATGTAACCAAAGTTACCACTTCTTCCATATTAACTTAAATATCACAGAAGAGAACCGCTGAGGTTGAGCAGAGTGGGCTGTGGTCCAGCAAGGTTCAAGAACGTTTCTCAGTACATTCTTTGATAATCTCTCTTAGAGACCTTGCTTTGCCCCTTCTAATCATGGCCTGAGAATGTCGACATAACAATGCTACTGTCTCTCATTGTACAGATGTTCCACCTGATAATCTTTTACACACACACACACACACACACACACATGCTCCTCTACTTATAATGGGGTCATGAACTGATAAACCCATCATAAATTGAAAATATCATAAGTCAAATGCATTTAATACACCATAACCTACCAAGCATTGTAACAACCTAGCCTACCTTCAATGTGCTTAGCACATTTATATTAGCCTACAGTTGTGCAAAATCATCTAATACAAAGGCTCTTTTATACTAAAGTGTTAGATATCTCACATATTGAATACTGTACTGAAAGTGAAAAACAGAATGGTTGTATGGGTCGAAAAATCATAAGACAAACGATTGGTTAAGTCAGGGACCGTCTACATATGAGTTCATTCACCGTAAAATAACAGTGAAGTTTCATCATCACTTGTAAGCACATGAAATTTATACTTTAGAAAGGAAATCACTATGAAATGTTGGGAAATTTTGGATATCTGGGAAGAGCATTCAACCAAAATGTACCCTGAAAGAAATACACTGTATGTTTCAGTTAGTATATAAAATAGCAAAATTATTCTACAAAAAGGAGAAAACGTTAAGAAGCAAAGCTAGGTAAAGCAAGAAGATAAATCTGGTGAAGAAAAAGTTGCCAAAAACACACCCACAACCACAAACTTTCTGGGTGGGTAAACAAACGTTTGCTGAATAGCTACTAAGTACCAGTTTTATCTATGTTATATTTAATTTTCAAAATAACCCATAAGGTAGGAATATTATATCCAATTTAGGATGAGAAAACAGGTTCAGAGAGATTAAGTAACATTCTGTCAATCACAGACCTAGTAAGTTGTACCAGGATTCAATCCCAATCCCACAACTCTAAACTCCAAACTCTTGCTTTTTTTCCCCCACTAAACCACACTTTCAGTTATAGAAGTTTAAATATAAAAGTTATCATGGCCGGGCGCGGTGGCTCACGCCTGTAATCCCAGCACTTTGGGAGGCTGAGGCGGGCGGATCACAAGGTCAGGAAATCGAGACCATCCTGGCTAACACAGTGAAACCCTGTCTCTACTAAAAAAAAATACAAAAAATTAGCCGGGCATGGTGGCGCTCTTGTAGTCGCAGCTACTTGGGAGGCTGAGACAGGAGAATGGCGTGAAACCGGGAAGCAGAGCTTGCAGTGAGCCGAAATCGCGCCACTACACTCCAGCCTGGGCGACAGAGCAAGACTCTGTCTCAAAAAAAAAAAAAAAAAAAGGTTATCAGTGAACTAACATTTGCATCAGTAGTAGGGATTTTAAATATGCAGAATGCCTGCAACAGTATTTTAAAAACACAATCATCACACTATTTGTATCTTTTAAAAAGCATCTAGATTTTCTGCCAGCTTGATGGGTCTCTACATGCAGTCTTAAGTAAGAGGCCTGTCAAAACACACTGTGCAACTTGATGTTATGAGGGCCCAGGACACTGCCTGCTGCAGGAGGACAGCATGGTCCACATTCACGGTCCACAGGAGGACAGAATGGTACACATTCATAGGAAATGCAGCAAGGACAAAGTGAGGAGTGACAAATCCTCTCCACAAAACGCAACCATAAAGCCACACAAAACTGTCAAGAACCACCACTGTCAGCGCTCTGGCAATCACCCAAAGCCGTATACACGTGGAGGGGCATTTCTTCGTGGAAAGTACTGAACTGCAGGTAAGACTAGCACATTGGCATTTTTTGCCCGGGGCTGTTCCTGTCTCCCTATCCCAGTTCTGTCAGTGCCAGGGTTCAACCAAGAGGGGAAAGCTGGGAAAAGCAGCAACTTCACTGCTTTTGCCAGGCCAGGTTCACCAGATTTGGAGCACAGTCAGTTAAACTGGCAATCCCAATAGCAAGAGAACTCAAGAAAATCAATGGCAATGTCCGCCTGAGGCTGAGGTCCTGCTGAGGGCAAGCAAGAGACTAGAAGACTAGCCAGGGACTTACTAGGGAGTTCTGGTAGGTGAGCCACTTACAGTGTGCTGGGTAAACTCTCCACATGTATCCCAGGTTAACCAGAGACTCTGCACATGTGTCACCAACACTAGGGCAGTCTCCTAACCTCTGCACACTCCTGGGCCACAGAGCCTGGGCATACACACACAAAGAAGACATAAGAGGGTCCAGCTGAAAGTTAAAGCCAGGACAGATGTGAGAACTGCCTGTGATTTGAAAGTGCTCCCCAGCCCACACACAGACCCACAGGCAGAGAGTCAAGGTTCAGACTGACTCACAATTAAGCTCTGATCTACCTTTGGCTTTAAAACAAAACTACACAGGGTAACCCTCTAGGAAGCTAGGATTTAAAGTAAAACATAAGAAAACAAAAAAAACAAACAAACGAAAGCAAACCTGGGCAGAGCCATCAGCAGCCACACAACATGAGAGAAATAGCCTTCACATATTTAGTCCAGAAAAGCTACTAAACCAAAAAATAACTCACAAGGGAGCAAGGATCAGAATCCACAGTTGCTACAATCTATTATCTTAAATGTAAAATATTCAACAAAAAATTGGAGACATGAAGAGAAATAAGAAAGTGTGACCCATACTCAGGGGAAAAATTGAGTCAATAGAAAGTATCTCTAGTATCCCCAAATGCTGGATTTAATAGGATGAGATTTCATAGTAGCTATTATATGTTCAAAGAACTGAAGGGAACCATATTTAAAGAATTAAAGTATGATTATAACAACAAATAGAATCTCAATAAAGTGATAGAAATTATTTTAAAAAGAGACAGAGAAGCAAATAGAAATTCTAGAGTTGAAAAGTAAAGTAAGTGAAATGAAAAATTTACTAGAGGGACTCAACCGCAAATCTGAACTGGTACGAGAAACAATCCATATATTTGAAGATAGCTCAATGAAAAGTATCCAATCTGAGGAACAGAAAAAAATTAAAGAGATATTAACAGACCCTCAGAGACCTGTGGAACAACAAACATAAAAATAAATGTGTGATTAGAGAAAAGAAAGGTACAGAAAAAATATATGAAGAAATAATGGCCAAAAACTCCCCAAATTTGATAAAACAAAAATACTGATCTACATATCCAAGAAGTTCAATAAAATTCCAAATAAGATAAACACAAAGAAATCCACAACTAAGCACATCACATTCAAATTGGAGAAAGATGAGAAACAAATGGAAAGAACCATGAAAGAAACAATTCATCTTGCAAAGAAAACAAACACAACACAATAAACAGCTGACTTCTCAGAAGTAACAGAGGCCAGAGAATAGTGGATGTTCAGAGTTCAGAAAGAAAAACAACAAAACCCTATCAACCAAGAATTCTATATCCAGAAAATTATGCTTCAAAACGGAAGGAAAAATAAAGACATTCCATAAATATTAAAAAAGCAACGTTGCTGCTAGAAGACCTGACTTTCAAGAAATGCTACATGAAATATTTCAGGTTGAATAAAAGTGGTACAGGATGATAACCTGAATCCATAGAAGAAGAGGAGAGTGCTAGAAACAATAAATATGTAGGTATATGTAAGACCTATTAGTATGTTTCTCATTTCTTCTCTTAAATTATTTTTAAAAAAGATTGTGTAAAGGAGTGATTTAACACTGTGTAACCTGCTTTATAATATAAAGGGATTAAGCATATATCACAATAATAGCATAAAAGGAGAAAGAAAAGGAGATACTGGAGA